>NC_000014.9:18015376-18173523 GCF_000001405.40 Homo sapiens
GGAGTATCTGGATGTGGACATTTGGAGCGCTTTGATGCCTACGGTGGAAAAGTAAATATCTTCCCATAAAAACGAGACAGAAGGATTCTCAGAAACAAGTTTGTGATGTGTGTACTCAGCTAACAGAGTGGAACCTTTCTTTTTACAGAGCAGCTTTGAAACTCTATTTTTGTGGATTCTGCAAATTGATATTTAGATTGCTTTAACGATATCATTGGAAAAGGGAATATGGTCATACAAAATCTAGACAGAAGCATTCTCACAAACTTCTTTGTGATGTGTGTCCTCAACTAACAGAGTTGAACCTTTCTTTTGATGCAGCAATTTGGAAACACCCTTTTGGTAGAAACTGTAACTGGATATTTGGATAGCTCTAACGATTTCGTTGGAAACGGGAATATCATCATCTAAAATGTAGACAGAAGCACTATTAGAAACTACTTGGTGATATCTGCATTCAAGTCACAGAGTAGAACATTCCCTTACTTCGAGCACGTTTGAAACACTCTTTTGGAAGAATCTGGAAGTGGACATTTGGAGCGCTTTGATGCCTTTGGTGAAAAGGAAACGTCTTCCAATAAAAGCCAGAAAGAAGCATTCTCAGAAACTTGTTCGTGATGTGTGTACTCAACTAAAAGAGTTGAACCTTTCTATTGATAGAGCAGTTTTGAAACACTCTTTTTGTGGATTCTGCAAGTGGATATTTGGATTGCTTTGAGGATTTCGTTGGAAGCGGGAATTCGTATAAGCACTAGACAGCAGCATTCCCAGAAATTTCTTTCGGATATTTCCATTCAACTCATAGAGATGAACATGGCCTTTCATAGAGCAGGTTTGAAACACTCTTTTTGTAGTTTGTGGAAGTGGACATTTCGATCGCCTTGACGCCTACGGTGAAAAAGGAAATATCTTCCCATAAAAAATAGACAGAAGCATTCTCAGAAACTTGTTGGTGATATGTGTCCTCAACTAACAGAGTTGAACTTTGCCATTGATAGAGAGCAGTTTTGAAACACTCTTTTTGTGGAATCTGCAAGCGGATATTTGGATAGCTTGGAGGATTTCGTTGGAAGCGGGAATTCAAATAAAAGGTAGACAGCAGCATTCTCAGAAATTTCTTTCTGATGTCTGCATTCAACTCATAGAGTTGAACATTCCCTTTCATAGGGCAGGTTTGAAATACTCTTTCTGTAGTATCTGGATGTGGACATTTGGAGCGCTTTGATGCCTACGGTGAAAAAGTAAATATCTTCCCATAAAAACGAGACAGAAGGATTCTGAGAAACAAGTTTGTGATGTGTGTACTCAGCTAACAGAGTGGAACCTCTGTTTTGATGCAGCAGTTTGGAAACACTCTTTTTGTAGAAACTGTAAGTGGATATTTGGATAGCTCTAATGATTTCTTTGGAAACGGGAATATCATCATCTAAAATCTAGACAGAAGCACTCTCAGAAACTACTTTG
Source organism: Homo sapiens (assembly GCF_000001405.40). Taxonomy (NCBI): domain Eukaryota; kingdom Metazoa; phylum Chordata; class Mammalia; order Primates; family Hominidae; genus Homo; species Homo sapiens. Next base: position 18,016,841 of record NC_000014.9, read on the forward strand.
TGATATCTGCACTCAAGTCACAGAGTTGAACATTCGCTTTCTTAGAGCACGTTTGAAACACTCTTTTTGTAGTGGCTGGAAGTGGACATTTGGAGCGCTTTGATGCCTTTGGTGAAAAAGGGAATGTCTTCCCATAAAAACTAGGCAGAAGCATTCTCAGAAACTTGTTTGTGATGTGTGTACCCAGCCAAAGGAGTTGAACATTTCTATTGATACAGCAGTTTTGAAACACTCTTGTTGTGGAAAATGCAGGTGGATATTTGGATAGCTTGGAGGATTTCGTTGGAAGCGGGAATTCAAATAAAAGCTAGACAGCAGCATTCTCAGAAATTTCTTTCTGATGTCTGCATTCAACTCATAGAGTTGAAGATTCCCTTTCATAGAGCAGGTTTGAAACACTCGTTCTGGAGTATCTGGATGTGGACATTTGGAGCGCTTTGATGCCTACGGTGGAAAAGTAAATATCTTCCCATAAAAACGAGACAGAAGGATTCTCAGAAACAAGTTTGTGATGTGTGTACTCAGCTAACAGAGTGGAACCTTTCTTTTAACAGAGCAGCTTTGAAACTCTAGTTTTGTGGATTCTGCAAATTGATATTTAGATTGCTTTAACGATATCGTTGGAAAAGGGAATATCCTCATACAAAATCTAGACAGAAGCATTCTCACAAACTTCTTTGTGATGTGTGTCCTCAACTAACAGAGTTGAACCTTTCTTTTGATGCAGCAATTTGGAAACACCCTTTTGGTAGAAACTGTAACTGGATATTTGGATAGCTCTAACGATTTCGTTGGAAACGGGAATATCATCATCTAAAATCTAGACAGAAGCACTATTAGAAACTACTTGGTGATATCTGCATTCAAGTCACAGAGTTGAACATTCCCTTACTTTGAGCACGTTTGAAACACTCTTTTGGAAGAATCTGGAAGTGGACATTTGGAGCGCTTTCATGCCTACGGTGGAAAAGTAAATATCTTCCCATAAAAACGAGACAGAAGCATTCTCAGAAACTTGTTTGTGATGTGTGTACTCAACTAAAAGAGTTGAACCTTTCTATTGATAGAGCAGTTTTGAAACACTCTTTTTGTGGATTCTGCAAGTGGATATTTGGATTGCTTTGAGGATTTCGTTGGAAGCGGGAATTCGTATAAAAACTAGACAGCAGCATTCCCAGAAATTTCTTTCGGATATTTCCATTCGACTCATAGAGATGAACATGGCCTTTCATAGAGCAGGTTTGAAACACTCTTTTTGTAGTTTGTGGAAGTGGACATTTCGATCGCCTTGACGCCTACGGTGAAAAAGGAAATTCTTCCCATAAAAAATAGACAGAAGCATTCTCAGAAACTTGTTGGTGATATGTGTCCTCAACTAACAGAGTTGAACTTTGCCATTGATAGAGAGCAGTTTTGAAACACTCTTTTTGTGGAATCTGCAAGTGGATATTTGGATAGCTTGGAGGATTTCGTTGGAAGCGGGAATTCAAATAAAAGGTAGACAGCAGCATTCTCAGAAATTTCTTTCTGATGTCTGCATTCAACTCATAGAGTTGAAGATTCCCTTTCATAGAGCAGGTTTGAAACACTCTTTCTGGAGTATCTGGATGTGGACATTTGGAGCGCTTTGATGCCTACGGTGAAAAAGTAAATATCTTCCCATAAAAACGAGAAAGAAGCATTCTCACAAACTTCTTTGTGATGTGTGTCCTCAACTAACAGAGTTGAACCTTTCTTTTGATTCAGCAGTTTGGAAACACTCTTTTTGTAGAAACTGTAAGTGGATATTTGGATAGCTCTAACGATTTCGTTGGAAACGGGAATATCATCATCTAAAATCTAGACAGAAGCACTATTAGAAACTACTTTGTGATATCTGCATTCAAGTCACAGAATTGAACATTCGCTTTCTTAGAGCACGTTGGAAACACTCTTTTTGTAGTGTCTGGAAGTGGACATTTGGAGCGCTTTGATGCCTTTGGTGAAAAAGGGAATGTCTTCCCATAAAAACTAGACAGAAGCATTCTCAGAAACTTGTTTGTGATGTGTGTACCCAGCCAAAGGAGTTGAACATTTCTATTGATAGAGCAGGTTTGAAACACTCTTTTTGTGGAAAATGCAGGTGGATATTTGGATAGCTTGGAGGATTTCGTTGGAAGCGGGAATTCAAATAAAAGGTAGACAGCAGCATTCTCAGAAATTTCTTTCTGATGTCTGCATTCAACTCATAGAGTTGAAGATTCCCTTTCATAGAGCAGGTTTGAAACACTCGTTCTGGAGTATCTGGATGTGGACATTTGGAGCGCTTTGATGCCTACGGTGGAAAAGTAAATATCTTCCCATAAAAACGAGACAGAAGGATTCTCAGAAACAAGTTTGTGATGTGTGTACTCAGCTAACAGAGTGGAACCTTTCTTTTTACAGAGCAGCTTTGAAACTCTATTTTTGTGGATTCTGCAAATTGATATTTAGGTTGCCTTAACGATATCGTTGGAAAAGGGAATATCGTCATACAAAATCTAGACAGAAGCATTCTCACAAACTTCTTTGTGATGTGTGTCCTCAACTAACAGAGTTGAACCTTTCTTTTGATGCAGCAGTTTGGAAACACTCTTTTTGTAGAAACTGTAAGTGGATATTTGGATAGCTCTAACGATTTCGTTGGAAACGGGAATATCATCATCTAAAATCTAGACAGAAGCACTATTAGAAACTACTTGGTGATATCTGCATTCAAGTCACAGAGTTGAACATTCCCTTACTTTGAGCACGTTTGAAACACTCTTTTGGAAGAATCTGGAAGTGGACATTTGGAGCGCTTTGATGCCTTTGGTGAAAAGGAAACGTCTTCCAATAAAAGCCAGACAGAAGCATTCTCAGAAACTTGTTTGTGATGTGTGTACCCAGCCAAAGGAGTTGAACATTTCTATTGATAGAACAGTTTTGAAATACTCTTTTTGTGGAAAATGCAGGTGGATATTTGGATACCTTGGAGGATTTCGTTGGAAGCGGGAATTCAAATAAAAGGTAGACAGCCAGCATTCCCAGGAAATTTCTTTCGGATATTTCCATTCAACTCATAGCAGGATGAACATGGCCTTTCATAGAGCAGGTTTGAAACACTCTTTTTGTAGTTTGTGGAAGTGGACATTTCGATCGCCTTGACGCCTACGCTGAAAAAGGAAATATCTTCCCATAAAAAATAGACAGAGCATTCTCAGAAACTTGTTGGTGATATGTGTCCTCAACTAACAGAGTTGAACTTTGCCATTGATAGAGAGCAGTTTTGAAACACTCTTTTTGTGGAATCTGCAAGTGGATATTTGGATAGCTTGGAGGATTTCGTTGGAAGCGGGAATTCAAATAAAAGGTAGACAGCAGCATTCTCAGAAATTTCTTTCTGATGTCTGCATTCAACTCATAGAGTTGAAGATTCCCTTTCATAGAGCATGTTTGAAACACTCTTTCTGGAGTATCTGGATGTGGACATTTGGAGCGCTTTGATGCCTACGGTGAAAAAGTAAATATCTTCCCATAAAAACGAGACAGAAGGATTCTGAGAAACAAGTTTGTGATGTGTGTACTCAGCTAACAGAGTGGAACCTCTCTTTTGATGCAGCAGTTTGGAAACACTCTTTTTGTAGAAACTGTAAGTGGATATTTGGATAGCTCTAATGATTTCGTTGGAAACGGGAATATCATCATCTAAAATCTAGACAGAAGCCCTCTCAGAAACTGCTTTGTGATATCTGCATTCAAGTCACAGAGTTGAACATTCGCTTTCTTAGAGCACGTTTGAAACACTCTTTTTGTAGTGTCTGGAAGTGGACATTTGGAGCGCTTTGATGCCTTTGGTGAAAAGGGGAATGTCTTCCCATAAAAACTAGACAGAAGCATTCTCAGAAACTTGTTTGTGATGTGTGTACCCAGCCAAAGGAGTTGAACATTTCTATTGATAGAGCAGTTTTGAAACGCTCTTTTTGTGGAAAATGCAGGAGGATATTTGGATAGCTTGGAGGATTTCGTTGGAAGCGGGAATTCAAATAAAATTTAGACAGCAGCATTCTCAGAAATTTCTTTCTGATGTCTGCATTCAACTCATAGAGTTGAAGATTCCCTTTCATAGAGCAGGTTTGAAACACTCTTTGTGGAGTATCTGGATGTGGACATTTGGAGCGCTTTGATGCCTACGGTGAAAAAGTAAATATCTTCCCATAAAAACGAGACAGAAGGATTCTGAGAAACAAGTTTGTGATGTGTGTACTCAGCTAACAGAGTGGAACCTTTCTTTTTACAGAGCAGCTTTGAAACTCTATTTTTGTGGATTCTGCAAATGGATATTTAGATTGCTTTAACGATATCGTTGGAAAAGGGAATATCGTCATACAAAATCTAGACAGAAGCATTCTCACAAACTTCTTTCTGATGTGTGTCCTCAACCAACAGAGTTGAACCTTTCTTTTGATGCAGCAGTTTGGAAACACTCTTTTTGTAGAAACTGTAAGTGGATATTTGGATAGCTCTAACGATTTCGTTGGAAACGGGAATATCATCATCTAAAATCTAGACAGAAGCACTATTAGAAACTACTTGGTGATATCTGCATTCAAGTCACAGAGTTGAACATTCCCTTACTTTGAGCACGTTTGAAACACTCTTTTGGAAGAATCTGGAAGTGGACATTTGGAGCGCTTTGATGCCTTTGGTGAAAAGGAAACGTCTTCCAATAAAAGCCAGACAGAAGCATTCTCAGAAACTTGTTCGTGATGTGTGTACTCAACTAAAAGAGTTGAACCTTTCTATTGATAGAGCAGTTTTGAAACACTCTTTTTGTGGATTCTGCAAGTGGATATTTGGATTGCTTTGAGGATTTCGTTGGAAGCGTGAATTCGTATAAACACTAGACAGCAGCATTCCCAGAAATTTCTTTCGGATATTTCCATTCAACTCATAGAGATGAACATGGCCTTTCATAGAGCAGGTTTGAAACACTCTTTTTGTAGTTTGTGGAAGTGGACATTTCGATCGCGTTGACGCCTACGGTGAAAAAGGAAATATCTTCCCATAAACAATAGACAGAAGCATTCTCAGAAACTTGTTGGTGATATGTGTCCTCAACTAACAGAGTTGAACTTTGCCATTGATAGAGAGCAGTTTTGAAACACTCTTTTTGTGGAATCTGCAAGTGGATATTTGGATAGCTTGGAGGATTTCGTTGGAAGCGGGAATTCAAATAAAAGGTAGACAGCAGCATTCTCAGAAATTTCTTTCTGATGTCTGCATTCAACTCATAGAGTTGAAGATTCCCTTTCATAGAGCAGGTTTGAAACACTCTTTCTGGAGTATCCGGATGTGGACATTTGGAGCGCTTTGATGCCTACGGTGAAAAAGTAAATATCTTCCCATAAAAACGAGACAGAAGGATTCTGAGAAACAAGTTTGTGATGTCTGTACTCGGCTAACAGAGTGGAACCTCTCTTTTGATGCAGCAGTTTGGAAACACTCTTTTTGTAGAAACTGTAAGTGGATATTTGGATAGCTCTAATGATTTCGTTGGAAACGGGAATATCATCATCTAAAATCTAGACAGAAGCACTCTCAGAAACCACTTTGTGATATCTGCATTCAAGTCACAGAGTTGAACATTCGCTTTCTTAGAGCACGTTTGAAACACTCTTTTTGTAGTGTCTGGAAGTGGACATTTGGAGCGCTTTGATGGCTTTGGTGAAAAAGGGAACGTCTTCCCATAAAAACTAGACAGAAGCATTCTCAGAAACTTGTTTGTGATGTGTGTACCCAGCCAAAGGAGTTGAACGTTTCTATTGATAGAGCAGTTTTGAAACACTCTTGTTGTGGAAAATGCAAGTGGATATTTGGATAGCTTGGAGGATTTCGTTGGAAGCGGGAATTCAAATAAAAGGTAGACAGCAGCATTCTCAGAAATTTCTTTCTGATGTCTGCATTCAACTCATAGAGTTGAAGATTCCCTTTCATAGAGCAGGTTTGAAACACTCTTTCTGGAGTATCTGGATGTGGACATTTGGAGCGCTTTGATGCCTACGGTGAAAAAGTAAATATCTTCCCATAAAAACGAGACAGAAGGATTCTCAGAAACAAGTTTGTGATGTGTGTACTCAGCTAAAAGAGTGGAACCTTTCTTTTTACAGAGCAGCTTTGAAACTCTATTTTTGTGGATTCTGCAAATTGATATTTAGATTGCTTTAACGATATCGTTGGAAAAGGGAATATCGTCATACAAATTCTAGACAGAAGCATTCTCACAAACTTCTTTGTGATGTGTGTCCTCAACTAACAGAGTTGAACCTTTCTTTTGATGCAGCAGTTTGGAAACACTCTTTTTGTAGAAACTGTAAGTGGATATTTGGATAGCTCTAACGATTTCGCTGGAAACGGGAATATCGTCATCTAAAATCTAGACAGAAGCACTATTAGAAACTACTTGGTGATATCTGCATTCAAGTCACAGAGTTGAACATTCCCTTACTTTGAGCACGTTTCAAACACTCTTTTGGAAGAATCTGGAAGTGGACATTTGGAGCGCTTTGATGCCTTTGGTGAAAAGGAAACGTCTTCCAATAAAAGCCAGACAGAAGCATTCTCAGAAACTTGTTGGTGATGTGTGTACTCAACTAAAAGAGTTGAACCTTTCTATTGATAGAGCAGTTTTGAAACACTCTTTTTGTGGATTCTGCAAGTGGATATTTGGATTGCTTTGAGGATTTCGTTGGAAGCGGGAATTCATATAAAAACTAGACAGCAGCATTCCCAGAAATTTCTTTCGGATATTTCCATTCAACTCATAGAGATGAACATCGCCTTTCATAGAGCAGGTTTGAAACACTCTTTTTGTAGTTTGTGGAAGTGGACATTTCGATCGCCTTGACGCCTACGGTGAAAAAGGAAATATCTTCCCATAAGAAAATAGACAGAAGCATTCTCAGAAACTTGTTGGTGATATGTGTCCTCAACTAACAGAGTTGAACTTTGCCATTGATAGAGAGCAGTTTTGAAACACTCTTTCTGTGGAATCTGCAAGTGGATATTTGGATAGCTTGGAGGATTTCGTTGGAAGTGGGAATTCAAATAAAAGGTAGACAGCAGCATTCTCAGAAATTTCTTTCTGATGTCTGCATTCAACTCATAGAGTTGAAGATTCCCTTTCATAGAGCAGGTTTGAAACACTCTTTCTCGAGTATCTGGATGTGGACATTTGGAGCGCTTTGGTACCTTCGGTGAGAAAGTAAATATCTTCCCATAAAACCGAGACAGAAGGATTCTGAGAAACAAGTTTGTGATGTGTGTACTCAGCTAACAGAGTGGAACCTCTCTTTTGATGCAGCAGTTTGGAAACACTCTTTTTGTAGAAACTGTAAGTGGATATTTGGATAGCTCTAATGATTTCGTTGGAAACGGGAATATCATCATCTAAAATCTAGACAGAAGCCCTTTCAGAAACTACTTTGTGATATCTGCATTCAAGTCACAGAGTTGAACATTCGGTTTCTTAGAGCACGTTTGAAACACTCTTTTTGTAGTGTCTGGAAGTGGACATTTGGAGCGCTTTGATGCCTTTGGTGAAAAAGGGAATGTCTTCCCATAAAAACTAGACAGAAGCATTCTCAGAAACTTCTTTGTGATGTGTGTACCCAGCCAAAGGAGTTGAACATTTCTATTGATAGAGCAGTTTTGAAACACTCTTGTTGTGGAAAATGCAGGTGGATATTTGGATAGCTTGGAGGATTTCGTTGGAAGCGGGAATTCAAATAAAAGGTAGACAGCAGCATTCTCAGAAATTTCTTTCTGATGTCTGCATTCAACTCATAGAGTTGAAGATTCCCTTTCATAGAGCAGGTTTGAAACACTCGTTCTGGAGTATCTGGATGTGGACATTTGGAGCGCTTTGATGCCTACGGTGGAAAAGTAAATATCTTCCCATAAAAACGAGACAGAAGGATTCTGAGAAACAAGTTTGTGATGTGTGTACTCAGCTAACAGAGTGGAACCTTTCTTTTTACAGAGCAGCTTTGAAACTCTATTTTTGTGGATTCTGCAAATGGATATTTAGATTGCTTTAACGATATCGTTGGAAAAGGGAATATCGTCATACAAAATCTGGACAGAAGCATTCTCACAAACTTCTTTGTGATGTGTGTCCTCAACTAACAGAGTTGAACCTTTCTTTTGATGCAGCAATTTGGAAACACCCTTTTGGTAGAAACTGTAACTGGATATTTGGATAGCTCTAACGATTTCGTTGGAAACGGGAATATCATCATCTAAAATCTAGACAGAAGCACTATTAGAAACTACTTGGTGATATCTGCATTCAAGTCACAGAGTAGAACATTCCCTTACTTCGACCACGTTTGAAACACTCTTTTAGAAGAATCTGGAAGTGGACATTTGGAGCGCTTTGATGCCTTTGGTGAAAAGGAAACGTCTTCCAATAAAAGCCAGACAGAAGCATTCTCAGAAACTTGTTTCTGATGTGTGTACTCAACTAAAAGAGTTGAACCTTTCTATTGATAGAGCAGTTTTGAAACACTCTTTTTGTGGATTCTGCAAGTGGATATTTGGATTGCTTTGAGGATTTCGTTGGAAGCGGGAATTCGTATAAAAACTAGACAGCAGCATTCCCAGAAATTTCTTTCGGATATTTCCATTCAACTCATAGAGATGAACATGGCCTTTCATAGAGCAGGTTTGAAACACTCTTTTTGTAGTTTGTGGAAGTGGACATTTCGATCGCCTTGACGCCTACGGTGAAAAAGGAAATATCTTCCCATAAAAAATAGACAGAAGCATTCTCAGAAACTTGTTTGTGATATGTGTCCTCAACTAACAGAGTTGAACTTTGCCATTGATAGAGAGCAGTTTTGAAACACTCTTTTTGTGGAATCTGCAAGTGGATATTTGGATAGCTTGGAGGATTTCGTTGGAAGCGGGAATTCAAATAAAAGGTAGACAGCAGCATTCTCAGAAATTTCTTTCTGATGTCTGCATTCAACTCATAGAGTTGAAGATTCCCTTTCATAGAGCAGGTTTGAAACACTCTTTCTGGAGTATCTGGATGTGGACATTTGGAGCGCTTTGAGGCCTACGGTGAGAAAGTAAATATCTTCCAATAAAAACGAGAGAGAAGGATTCTGAGAAACAAGTTTGTGATGTGTGTACTCAGCTAACAGAGTGGAACCTCTCTTTTGATGCAGCAGTTTGGAAACACTCTTTTTGTAGAAACTGTAAGTGGATATTTGGATAGCTCTAATGATTTCGTTGGAAACGGGAATATCATCATCTAAAATCTAGACAGAAGCCCTCTCAGAAACTACTTTGTGATATCTGCATTCAAGTCACAGAGTTGAACATTCGCTTTCTTAGAGCACGTTTGAAACACTCTTTTTGTAGTGTCTGGAAGTGGACATTTGGAGCGCTTTGATGTCTTTGGTGAAAAAGGGAATGTCTACCCATAAAAACTAGACAGAAGCATTCTCAGAAACTTGTTTGTGATGTGTGTACCCAGCCAAAGGAGTTGAACATTTCTATTGATAGAGCAGTTTTGAAACACTCTTGTTGTGGAAAATGCAGGTGGATATTTGGATAGCTTGGAGGATTTCGTTGGAAGCGGGAATTCAAATAAAAGGTAGACAGCAGCATTCTCAGAAATTTCTTTCTGATGTCTGCATTCAACTCATAGAGTTGAAGATTCCCTTTCATAGAGCAGGTTTGAAACACTCGTTCTGGAGTATCTCGATGTGGACATTTGGAGCGCTTTGATGCCTACGGTGGAAAAGTAAATATCTTCCCATAAAAACGAGACAGAAAGGATTCTCAGAAACAAGTTTGTAATGTGTGTACTCAGCTAACAGAGTGGAACCTTTCTTTTTACAGAGCAGCTTTGAAACTCTATTGTTGTGGATTCTGCAAATTGATATTTAGATTGCTTTAACGATATCGTTGGAAAAGGGAATACCGTCATACAAAATCTAGACAGAAGCATTCTCACAAACAGCTTTGAGATGTGTGTCCTCAACTAACAGAGTTGAACTTTTCTTTTGATGCAGCAGTTTCGAAACACCCTTTTGGTAGAAACTGTAAGTGGATATTTGGATAGCTCTAACGATTTCGTTGGAAACGGGAATATCATCATCTAAAATCTAGACAGAAGCACTATTAGAAACTACTTGGTGATATCTGCATTCAAGTCACAGAGTTGAACATTCCCTTACTTTGAGCACGTTTGAAACACTCTTTTGGAAGAATCTGGAAGTGGACATTTGGAGCGCTTTGATGCCTTTGGTGAAAAGGAAACGTCTTCCAATAAAAGCCAGACAGAAGCATTCTCAGAAACTTGTTCGTGATGTGTGTACTCAACTAAAAGAGTTGAACCTTTCTATTGATAGAGCAGTTTTGAAACACTCTTTTTGTGGATTCTGCAAGTGGATATTTGGATTGCTTTGAGGATTTCGTTGGAATCGGGAATTCGTATAAAAACTAGACAGCAGCATTGCCAGAAATTTCTTTCGGATATTTCCATTCAACTCATAGAGATGAACATGGCCTTTCATAGAGCAGGTTTGAAACACTCTTTTTGTAGTTTGTGGAAGTGGACATTTCGATCGCCTTGACGCCTACGGTGAAAAAGGAAATATCTTCCCATAAAAAATAGACAGAAGCATTCTCAGAAACTTGTTGGTGATATGTGTCCTCAACTAACAGAGTTGAACTTTGCCATTGATAGAGAGCAGTTTTGAAACACTCTTTTTGTGGAATCTGCAAGTGGATATTTGGATAGCTTGGAGGATTTCGTTGGAAGCGGGAATTCAAATAAAAGGTAGACAGCAGCATTCTCAGAAATTTCTTTGTGATGTTTGCATTCAACTCATAGAGTTGAACATTCCCTGTCATAGAGCAGGTTTGAAACACTCTTTCTGTACTATCTGGATGTGGACATTTGGAACGCTTTGATGCCTACGGTGAAAAAGTAAATATCTTCCCATAAAAGCTAGACAGAAGGATTCTGAGAAACAAGTTTGTGATGTGTGTACTCAGCTAACAGAGTGGAACCTCTCTTTTGATGCAGCAGTTTGGAAACACTCTTTTTGTAGAAACTGTAAGTGGATATTTGGATAGCTCTAATGATTTCGTTGGAAACCGGAATATCATCATCTAAAATCTAGACAGAAGCCCTCTCAGAAACTACTTTGTGATATCTGCATTCAAGTCACAGAGTTGAACATTCGCTTTCTTAGAGCACGTTGGAAACACTCTTTTTGTAGTGTCTGGAAGTGGACATTTGGAGCGCTTTGATGCCTTTGGTGAGAAAGGGAACGTCTTCCCATAAAAACTAGACAGAAGCATTCTCAGAAACTTGTTTGTGATGTGTGTACCCAGCCAAAGGAGTTGAACATTTCTATTGATAGAGCAGGTTTGAAACACTCTTTTTGTGGAAAATGCAAGTGGATATTTGGATAGCTTGGAGGATTTCGTTGGAAGCGGGAATTCAAATAAAAGGTAGACAGCAGCATTCTCAGAAATTTCTTTCTGATGTCTGCATTCAACTCATAGAGTTGAAGATTCCCTTTCATAGAGCAGGTTTGAAACACTCGTTCTGGAGTATCTGGATGTGGACATTTGGAGCGCTTTGATGCCTACGGTGGAAAAGTAAATATCTTCCCATAAAAACGAGACAGAAGGATTCTCAGAAACAAGTTTGTGATGTGTGTACTCAGCTAACAGAGTGGAACCTTTATTTTTACAGAGCAGCTTTGAAACTCTATTTTCGTGGATTCTGCAAATTGATATTTAGATTGCTTTAACGATATCGTTGGAAAAGGGAATATCGTCATACAAAATCTAGACAGAAGCATTCTCACAAACTTCTTTGTGATGTGTGTCCTCAACTAACAGAGTTGAACCTTTCTTTTGATGCAGCAATTTGGAAACACCCTTTTGGTAGAAACTGTAACTGGATATTTGCTTAGCTCTAACGATTTCGTTGGAAACGGGAATATCATCATCTGAAATCTAGACAGAAGCACTATTAGAAACTACTTGGTGATATCTGCATTCAAGTCACGGAGTTGAACATTCCCTTACTTTGAGCACGTTTCAAACACTCTTTTGGAAGAATCTGGAAGTGGACATTTGGAGCGCTTTGATGCCTTTGGTGAAAAGGAAACATCTTCCAATAAAAGCCAGACAGAAGCATTCTCAGAAACTTGTTTGTGATGTGTGTACTCAACTAAAAGAGTTGAACCTTTCTATTGATAGAGCAGTTTTGAAACACTCTTTTTGTGGATTCTGCAAGTGGATATTTGGATTGCTTTGAGGATTTCGTTGGAAGCGGGAATTCGTATAAAAACTAGACAGCAGCATTCCCAGAAATTTCTTTCGGATATTTCCATTCGACTCATAGAGATGAACATGGCCTTTCATAGAGCAGGTTTGAAACACTCTTTTTGTAGTTTGTGGAAGTGGACATTTCGATCGCCTTGACGCCTACGGTGAAAAAGGAAATATCCTTCCCATAAAAAATAGACAGAAGCATTCTCAGAAACTTGTTAGTGATATGTGTCCTCAACTAACAGAGTTGAACTTTGCCATTGATAGAGAGCAGTTTTGAAACACTCTTTTTGTGGAATCTGCAAGTGGATATTTGGATAGCTTGGAGGATTTCGTTGGAAGCGGGAATTCAAATAAAAGGTAGACAGCAGCATTCTCAGAAATTTCTTTCTGATGTCTGTATTCAACTCATAGAGTTGAACATTCCCTTTCATAGGGCAGGTTTGAAATACTCTTTCTGTAGTATCTGGATGTGGACATTTGGAGCGCTTTGAGGCCTACGATGAAAAAGTAAATATCTTCCCATAAAAACGAGACAGAAAGGATTCTGAGAAACAAGTTTGTGATGTGTGTACTCAGCTAACAGAGTGGAACCTCTCTTTTGATGCAGCAGTTTGGAAACACTCTTTTTGTAGAAACTGTAAGTGGATATTTGGATAGCTCTAATGATTTCGTTGGAAACGGGAATATCATCATCTAAAATCTAGACAGAGCCCTCTCAGAAACTACTTTGTGATATCTGCATTCAAGTCACAGAGTTGAACATTCGCTTTCTTAGAGCACGTTTGAAACACTCTTTTTATAGTGTCTGGAAGTGGACATTTGGAGCGCTTTGATGCCTTTGGTGAAAAAGGGAATGTCTTCCCATAAAAAATAGACAGAAGCATTCTCAGAAACTTGTTTGTGATGTGTGTACCCAGCTAAAGGAGTTGAACATTTCTATTGATAGAGCAGTTTTGAAACACTCTTTTTGTGGAAAATGCAAGTTGATATTTGGATAGCTTGGAGGATTTCGTTGGAAGCGGGAATTCAAATAAAAGGTAGACAGCAGCATTCTCAGAAATTTCTTTCTGATGTCTGCATTCAACTCATAGAGTTGAAGATTCCCTTTCATAGAGCAGGTTTGAAACACTCGTTCTGGAGTATCTGGATGTGGACATTTGGAGCGCTTTGATGCCTACGGTGGAAAAGTAAGTATCTTCCCATAAAAACGAGACAGAAGGATTCTGAGAAACAAGTTTGTGATGTGTGTACTCAGCTAACAGAGTGGAACCTTTCTTTTTACAGAGCAGCTTTGAAACTCTATTTTTGTGGATTCTGCAAATGGATATTTAGATTGCTTTAACGATATCGCTGGAAAAGGGAATATGGTCATACAAAATCTAGACAGAAGCATTCTCACAAACTTCTTTGTGATGTGTGTCCTCAACTAACAGAGTTGAACCTTTCTTTTGATGCAGCAGTTTGGAAACACTGTTTTTGTAGAAACTGTAAGTGGATATTTGGATAGCTCTAACGATTTCGTTGGAAACGGGAATATCATCATCTAAAATCTAGACAGAAGCACTATTAGAAACTACTTGGTGATATCTGCATTCAAGTCACAGAGTTGAAGATTCCCTTACTTTGAGCACGTTTGAAACACTCTTTTGGAAGAATCTGGAAGTGGACATTTGGAGCGCTTTGATGCCTTTGGTGAAAAGGAAACGTCTTCCAATAAAAGCCAGACAGAAGCATTCTCAGAAAGTTGTTTGTGATGTGTGTACTCAACTAAAAGAGTTGAACCTTTCTATTGATAGAGCTGTTTTGAAACACTCTTTTTGTGGAATCTGCAAGTGGATATTTGGATTGCTTTGAGCATTTCGTTGGAAGCGGGATTTCATATAAAAACTAGACAGCAGCATTCCCAGAAATTTCTTTCGGATATTTCCATTCAACTCATAGAGATGAACATGGCCTTTCATAGAGCAGGTTTGAAACACTCTTTTTGTAGTTTGTGGAAGTGGACATTTCGATCGCCTTGACTCCTACGCTGAAAAAGGAAATATCTTCCCATAAAAAATAGACAGAAGCATTCTCAGAAACTCGTTGGTGATATGTGTCCTCAACTAACAGAGTTGAACTTTGCCATTGATAGAGAGCAGTTTTGAAACACTCTTTTTGTGGAATCTGCAAGTGGATATTTGGATAGCTTGGAGGATTTCGTTGGAAGCGGGAATTCAAATAAAAGGTAGACAGCAGCATTCTCAGAAATTTCTTTCTGATGTCTGCATTCAACTCATAGAGTTGAACATTCCCTTTCATAGAGCAGGTTTGAAATACTCTTTCTGTGGTATCTGGATGTGGACATTTGGAGCGCTTTGAGGCCTACGGTGAAAAAGTAAATATCTTCCCATAAAAACGAGACAGAAGGATTCTGAGAAACAAGTTTGTGATGTGTGTACTCAGCTAACAGAGTGGAACCTCTCTTTTGATGCAGCAGTTTGGAAACACTCTTTTTGTAGAAACTGTAAGTGGATATTTGGATAGCTCTAATGATTTCGTTGGAAACGGGAATATCATCATCTAAAATCTAGACAGAAGCCGTCTCAGAAACTACTTTGTGATATCTGCATTCAAGTCACAGAGTTGAACATTCGGTTTCTTAGAGCACGTTTGAAACACTCTTTTTGTAGTGTCTGGAAGAGGACATTTGGAGCGCTTTGATGCCTTTGGTGAAAAAGGGAATGTCTTCCCATAAAAACTAGACAGAAGCATTCTCAGAAACTTGTTTGTGATGTGTGTACCCAGCCAAAGGAGTTGAACATTTCTATTGATAGAGCAGTTTTGAAACACTCTTTTTGTGGAAAATGCAGGTGGATATTTGGATAGCTTGGAGGATTTCGTTGGAAGCGGGAATTCAAATAAAAGGTAGACAGCAGCATTCTCAGAAATTTCTTTCTGATGTCTGCATTCAACTCATAGAGTTGAAGATTCCCTTTCATAGAGCAGGTTTGAAACACTCGTTCTGGAGTATCTGGATGTGGACATTTGGAGCACTTTGATGCCTACGGTGGAAAAGTAAATATCTTCCCATAAAAACGAGACAGAAGGATTCTCAGAAACAAGTTTGTGATGTGTGTACTCAGCTAACAGAGTGGAACCTTTCTTTTTACAGAGCAGCTTTGAAACTCTATTTTTGTGGATTCTGCAAATTGATATTTAGATTGCTTTAACGATATCGTTGGAAAAGGGAATATCGTCATACAAAATCTAGACAGAAGCATTCTCACAAACTTCTTTGTGATGTGTGTCCTCAACTAACAGAGTTGAACCTTTCTTTTGATGCAGCAATTTGGAAACACCCTTTTGGTAGAAACTGTAACTGGATATTTGGATAGCTCTAACGATTTCGTTGGAAACGGGAATATCATCATCTAAAATGTAGAGAGAAGCACTATTAGAAACTACTTGGTGATATCTGCATTCAAGTCACAGAGTTGAACATTCCCTTACTTTGAGGACGTTTGAAACACTCTTTTGGAAGAATCTGGAAGTGGACATTTGGAGCGCTTTGATGCCTTTGGTGAAAAGGAAACGTCTTCCAATAAAAGCCAGACAGAAGCATTCTCAGAAACTTGTTCGTGATGTGTGTACTCAACTAAAAGAGTTGAACCTTTCTATTGATAGAGTAGTTTTGAAACACTCTTTTTGTGGATTCTGCAAGTGGATATTTGGATTGCTTTGAGGATTTCGTTGGAAGCGGGAATTCGTATAAACACTAGACAGCAGCATTCCCAGAAATTTCTTTCGGATATTTCCATTCAACTCATAGAGATGAACATGGCCTTTCATAGAGCAGGTTTGAAACACTCTTTTTGTAGTTTGTGGAAGTGGACATTTCGATCGCCTTGACGCCTACGGTGAAAAAGGAAATATCTTCCCATAAAAAATAGACAGAAGCATTCTCAGAAACTTGTTGGTGATATGTGTCCTCAACTAACAGAGTTGAACTTTGCCATTGGTAGAGAGCAGTTTTGAAACACTCTTTTTGTGGAATCTGCAAGTGGATATTTGGATAGCTTGGAGGATTTCGTTGGAAGCGGGAATTCAAATAAAAGGTAGACAGCAGCATTCTCAGAAATTTCTTTCTGATGTCTGCATTCAACTCATAGAGTTGAACATTCCCTTTCATAGAGCAGGTTTGAAACACTCTTTCTGGAGTATCTGGATGTGGACATTTGGAGCGCTTTGATGCCTACGGTGAAAAAGTAAATATCTTCCCATAAAAACGAGACAGAAGGATTCTGAGAAACAAGTTTGTGATGTGTGTACTCAGCTAACAGAGTGGAACCTCTCTTTTGATGCAGCAGTTTGGAAACACTCTTTTTGTAGAAACTGTAAGTGGATATTTGGATAGCTCTAACGATTTCGTTGGAAACGGGAATATCATCATCTAAAATCTAGACAGAAGCACTATTAGAAACTACTTGGTGTTATCTGCATTCATGTCACAGAGTAGAACATTCCCTTACTTCGAGCACGTTTGAAACACTCTTTTGGAAGAATCTGGAAGTGGACATTTGGAGCGCTTTGATGCCTTTGGTGAAAAGGAAACGTCTTCCAATAAAAGCCAGACAGAAGCATTCTCAGAAACTTGTTTGTGATGTGTGTACCCAGCAAAAGGAGTTGAACATTTCTATTGATAGAGCAGTTTTGAAACACTCTTTTTGTGGAAAATGCAGGTGGATATTTGGATAGCTTGGAGGATTTCGTTGGAAGCGGGAATTCAAATAAAAGGTAGACAGCAGCATTCTCAGAAATTTCTTTCTGATGTCTGCATTCAACTCATAGAGTTGAAGATTCCCTTTCATAGAGCAGGTTTGAAACACTCGTTCTGGAGTATCTGGATGTGGACATTTGGAGCGCTTTGATGCCTACGGTGGAAAAGTAAATATCTTCCCATAAAAACGAGACAGAAGGATTCTCAGAAACAAGTTTGTGATGTGTGTACTCAGCTAACAGAGTGGAACCTTTCTTTTAACAGAGCAGCTTTGAAACTCTAGTTTTGTGGATTCTGCAAATTGATATTTAGATTGCTTTAACGATATCGTTGGAAAAGGGAATATCGTCATACAAAATCTAGACAGAAGCATTCTCACAAACTTCTTTGTGATGTGTGTCCTCAACTAACAGAGTTGAACCTTTCTTTTGATGCAGCAATTTGGAAACACCCTTTTGGTAGAAACTGTAACTGGATATTTGGATAGCTCTAACGATTTCGTTGGAAACGGGAATATCATCATCTAAAATCTAGACAGAAGCACTATTAGAAACTACTTGGTGATATCTGCATTCAAGTCACAGAGTTGAACATTCCCTTACTTTGAGCACGTTTCAAACACTCTTTTGGAAGAATCTGGAAGTGGACATTTGGAGCTGCTTTGATGCCTTTGGTGAAAAGGAAACGTCTTCCAATAAAAGCCAGACAGAAGCATTCTCAGAAACTTGTTTGTGATGTGTGTACTCAACTAAAAGAGTTGAACCTTTCTATTGATAGAGCAGTTTTGAAACACTCTTTTTGTGGATTCTGCAAGTGGATATTTGGATTGCTTTGAGGATTTCGTTGGAAGCGGGAATTCGTATAAAAACTAGACAGCAGCATTCCCAGGAATTTCTTTCGGATATTTCCATTCAACTCATAGAGATGAACATGGCCTTTCATAGAGCAGGTTTGAAACACACTTTTTGTAGTTTGTGGAAGTGGACATTTCAATCGCCTTGATGCCTACGGTGAAAAAGGAAATATCTTCCCATAAAAAATAGAGAGAAGCATTCTCAGAAACTTGTTGGTGATATGTGTCCTCAACTAACAGAGTTGAACTTCGCCATTGATAGAGAGCAGTTTTGAGACACTCTTTTTGTGGAATCTGCAAGTGGATATTTGGATAGCTTGGAGGATTTCGTTGGAAGCAGGAATTCAAATAAAAGGTAGACAGCCAGCATTCTCAGAAATTTCTTTCTGATGTCTGCATTCAACTCATAGAGTTGAACATTCTCTTTCATAGAGCAGGTTTGAAACACTCTTTCTGGAGTATCTGGATGTGGACATTTGGAGCGCTTTGATGCCTACGGTGAAAAAGTAAATATCTTCCCATAAAAACGAGACAGTAAGGATTCTCAGAATCAAGTTTGTGATGTGTGTACTCAGCTAACAGAGTGGAACCTCTCTTTTGATGCAGCAGTTTGGAAACACTCTTTTTGTAGAAACTGTAAGTGGATATTTAGATAGCTCTAATGATTTCGTTGGAAACGGGAATATCATCATCTAAAATCTAGACAGAAGCACTATTAGAAACTACTTTGTGATATCTGCATTCAAGTCACAGAGTTGAACATTCGCTTTCTTAGAGCACGTTGGAAACACTCATTTTGTAGTGTCTGGAAGTGGACATTTGGAGCGCTTTGATGCCTTTGGTGAAAAAGGAAACGTCTTCCAATAAAAGCCAGACAGAAGCATTCTCAGAAACTTGTTTGTGATGTGTGTACCCAGCCAAAGGAGTTGAACATTTCTATTGATAGAGCAGTTTTGAAACGCTCTTTTTGTGGAAAATGCAGGTGGATATTTGGATAGCTTGGAGGATTTCGTTGGAAGCGGGAATTCAAATAAAAGGTAGACAGCAGCATTCTCAGAAATTTCTTTCTCATGTCTGCATTCAACTCATAGAGTTGAAGATTCCCTTTCATAGAGCAGGTTTGAAACACTCTTTCTGGAGTATCTGGATGTGGACATTTGGAGCGCTTTGATGCCTACGGTGAAAAAGTAAATATCTTCCCATAAAAACGAGACAGAAGGATTCTGAGAGACAAGTTTGTGATGTGTGTACTCAGCTAACAGAGTGGAACCTTTCTTTTTACAGAGCAGCTTTGAAACTCTATTTTTGTGGATTCTGCAAATGGATATTTAGATTGCTTTAATGATATCGTTGGAAAAGGGAATATCGTCATACAAAATCTGGACAGAAGCATTCTCACAAACTTCTTTGTGATGTGTGTCCTCAACTAACAGAGTTGAAACTTTCTTTTGATGCAGCAGTTTGGAAACACTCTTTTTGTAGAAACTGTAAGTGGATATTTGGATAGCTCTAACGATTTCGTTGGAAACGGGAATATCATCATCTAAAATCTAGACAGAAGCACTATTAGAAACTACTTGGTGATATCTGCATTCAAGTCACAGAGTTGAACATTCCCTTACTTTGAGCACGTTTGAAACACTCTTTTGGAAGAATCTGGAAGTGGACATTTGGAGCGCTTTGATGCCTTTGGTGAAAAGGAAACGTCTTCCAATAAAAGCCAGACAGAAGCATTCTCAGAAACTTGTTCGTGGTGTGTGTACTCAACTAAAAGAGTTGAACCTTTCTATTGATAGAGCAGTTTTGAAACACTCTTTTTGTGGATTCTGCAAGTGGATATTTGGATTGCTTTGAGGATTTCGTTGGAAGCGGGAATTCGTATAAACACTAGACAGCAGCATTCCCAGAATTTTCTTTCGGATATTTCCATTCAACTCATAGAGATGAACATGGCCTTTCATATTGAAACACTCTTTTTGTAGTTTGTGGAAGTGGACAGTTCGATCGCCTTGACGCCTACGGTGAAAAAGGAAATATCTTCCCATAAAAAATAGACAGAAGCATTCTCAGAAACTTGTTGGTGATATGTGTCCTCAACTAACAGAGTTGAACTTTGCCATTGATAGAGAGCAGTTTTGAAACACTCTTTTTGTGGAATCTGCAAGTGGATATTTGGATAGCTTGGAGGATTTCGTTGGAAGCGGGAATTCAAATAAAAGGTAGACAGCAGGATTCTGAGAAACAAGTTTGTGATGTGTGTACTCAGCTAACAGAGTGGAACCTCTCTTTTGATGCAGCAGTTTGGAAACACTCTTTTTGTAGAAACTGTAAGTGGATATTTGGATAGCTCTAATTATTTCGTTGGAAACGGGAATATCATCATCTAAAATCTAGACAGAAAGCACTCTCAGGAAACTACTTTGTGATATCTGCATTCAAGTCACAGAGTTGAACATTCGCTTTCTTAGAGCACGTTTGAAACACTCTTTTTGTAGTGTCTGGAAGTGGACATTTGGAGCGCTTTGATGGCTTTGGTGAAAAAGGGAACGTCTTCCCATAAAAACTAGACAGAAGCATTCTCAGAAACTTGTTTGTGATGTGTGTACCCAGCCAAAGGAGTTGAACGTTTCTATTGATAGAGCAGTTTTGAAACACTCTTGTTGTGGAAAATGCAAGTGGATATTTGGATAGCTTGGAGGATTTCGTTGGAAGCGGGAATTCAAATAAAAGGTAGACAGCAGCATTCTCAGAAATTTCTTTCTGATGTCTGCATTCAACTCATAGAGTTGAAGATTCCCTTTCATAGAGCAGGTTTGAAACACTCGTTCTGGAGTATCTGGATGTGGACATTTGGAGCGCTTTCGATGCCTACGGTGGAAAAGTAAATATCTTCCCATAAAAACGAGACAGAAGGATTCTCAGAAACAAGTTTGTGATGTGTGTACTCAGCTAACAGAGTGGAACCTTTCTTTTTACAGAGCAGCTTTGAAACTCTATTTTTGTGGATTCTGCAAATTGATATTTAGATTGCTTTAACGATATCGTTGGAAAAGGGAATATGGTCATACAAAATCTAGACAGAAGCATTCTCACAAACTTCTTTGTGATGTGTGTCCTCAACTAACAGAGTTGAACCTTTCTTTTGATGCAGCAATTTGGAAACACCCTTTTGGTAGAAACTGTAAGTGGATATTTGGATAGCTCTAACGATTTCGTTGGAAACGGGAATATCATCATCTAAAATCTAGACAGAAGCACTATTAGAAACTACTTGGTGATATCTGCATTCAAGTCTCAGAGTTGAACATTCCCTTACTTCGAACACGTTTGAAACACTCTTTTGGAAGAATCTGGAAGTGGACATTTGGAGCGCTTTGATGCCTTTGGTGAAAAGGAAACGTCTTCCAATAAAAGCCAGACAGAAGCATTCTCAGAAACTTGTTTGTGATGTGTGTACTCAACTAAAAGAGTTGAACCTTTCTATTGATAGAGCAGTTTTGAAACACTCTTTTTGTGGATTCTGCAAGTGGATATTTGGATTGCTTTGAGGATTTCGTTGGAAGCGGGAATTCGTATAAAAACTAGACAGCAGCATTCCCAGAAATTTCTTTCGGATATTTCCATTCGACTCATAGAGATGAACATGGCCTTTCATAGAGCAGGTTTGAAACACTCTTTTTGTAGTTTGTGGAAGTGGACATTTCGATCGCCTTGACGCCTACGGTGAAGAAGGAAATATCTTCCCATAAAAAATAGACAGAAGCATTCTCAGAAACTTGTTGGTGATATGTGTCCTCAACTAACAGAGTTGAACTTTGCCATTGATAGAGAGCAGTTTTGAAACACTCTTTTTGTGGAATCTGCAAGTGGATATTTGGATAGCTTGGAGGATTTCGTTGGAAGCGGGAATTCAAATAAAAGGTAGACAGCAGCATTCTCAGAAATTTCTTTCTGATGTCTGCATTCAACTCATAGAGTTGAAGATTCCCTTTCATAGAGCAGGTTTGAAACACTCTTTCTGGAGTATCTGGATGTGGACATTTGGAGCGCTTTGATGCCTACGGTGAAAAAGTAAATATCTTCCAATAAAAACGAGACAGAAGGATTCTGAGAAACAAGTTTGTGATGTGTGTACTCAGCTAACAGAGTGGAACCTCTCTTTTGATGCAGCAGTTTGGAAACACTCTTTTTGTAGAAACTGTAAGTGGATATTTGGATAGCTCTAATGATTTCGTTGGAAACGGGAATATCATCATCTAAAATCTAGACAGAGGCACTCTCAGAAACTACTGTGTGATATCTGCATTCAAGTCACAGAGTTGAACATTCGCTTTCTTAGAGCACGTTTGAAACACTCTTTTTGTAGTGTCTGGAAGTGGACATTTGGAGCGCTTTGATTCCTTTGGTGAAAAAGGGAATGTCTACCCATAAAAACTAGACAGAAGCATTCTCAGAAACTTGTTTGTGATGTGTGTACCCAGCCAAAGGAGTTGAACATTTCTATTGATAGAGCAGTTTTGAAACACTCTTGTTGTGGAAAATGCAGGTGGATATTTGGATAGCTTGGAGGATTTCGTTGGAAGCGGGAATTCAAATAAAAGGTAGACAGCAGCATTATCAGAAATTTCTTTCTGATGTCTGCATTCAACTCATAGAGTTGAAGATTCCCTTTCATAGAGCAGGTTTGAAACACTCGTTCTGGAGTATCTGGATGTGGACATTTGGAGCGCTTTGATGCCTACGGTGGAAAAGTAAATATCTTCCCATAAAAACGAGACAGAAGGATTCTGAGAGACAAGTTTGTGATGTGTGTACTCAGCTAACAGAGTGGAACCTTTCTTTTTACAGAGCAGCTTTGAAACTCTATTTTTGTGGATTCTGCAAATGGATATTTAGATTGCTTTAACGATATCGTTGGAAAAGGGAATATCGTCATACAAAATCTGGACAGAAGCATTCTCACAAACTTCTTTGTGATGTGTGTCCTCAACTAACAGAGTTGAACCTTTCTTTTGATGCAGCAGTTTGGAATCACCCTTTTGGTAGAAACTGTAACTTGATATTTGGATAGCTCTAACGATTTCGTTGGAAACGGGAATATCATCATCTAAAATCTAGACAGAAGCACTATTAGAAACTACTTGGTGATATCTGCATTCAAGTCACAGAGTTGAACATTCCCTTACTTTGAGCACGTTTCAAACACTCTTTTGGAAGAATCTGGAAGTGGACATTTGGAGCGCTTTGATGCCTTTGGTGAAAAGGAAACGTCTTCCAATAAAAGCCAGACAGAAGCATTCTCAGGAAACTTGTTTGTGATGTGTGTACTCAACTAAAAGAGTTGAACCTTTCTATTGATAGAGCAGTTTTGAAACACTCTTTTTGTGGATTCTGCAAGTGGATATTTGGATTGCTTTGAGGATTTCGTTGGAAGCGGGAATTCGTATAACAACTAGACAGCAGCATTCCCAGAAATTTCTTTCGGATATTTCCATTCAACTCATAGAGATGAACATGGCCTTTCATAGAGCAGGTTTGAAACACTCTTTTTGTAGTTTGTGGAAGTGGACATTTCGATCGCCTTGACGCCTACGGTGAAAAAGGAAATATCTTCCCATAAAAAATAGACAGAAGCATTCTCAGAAACTTGTTGGTGATATGTGTCCTCAACTAACAGAGTTGAACTTTGCCATTGATAGAGAGCAGTTTAGAAACACTCTTTTTGTGGAATCTGCAAGTGGATATTTGGATAGCTTGGAGGATTTCGTTGGAAGCGGGAATTCAAATAAAAGGTAGACAGCAGCATTCTCAGAAATTTCTTTCTGATGTCTGCATTCAACTCATAGAGTTGAAGATTCCCTTTCATAGAGCAGGTTTGAAACACTCTGGAGTATCTGGATGTGGACATTTGGAGCGCTTTGATGCCTACGGTGAAAAAGTAAATATCTTCCCATAAAAACGACACAGAAGGATTCTCAGAAACAAGTTTGTGATGTGTGTACTCAGCTAACAGAGTGGAACCTCTCTTTTGATGCAGCAGTTTGGAAACACTCTTTTTGTAGAAACTGTAAGTGGATATTTGGATAGCTCTAATGATTTCGTTGGAAACGGGAATATCATCATCTAAAATCTAGACAGAAGCACTCTCAGAAACTACTTTGTGATATCTGCATTCAAGTCACAGAGTTGAACGTTCGCTTTCTTAGAGCACGTTTGAAACACTCTTTTTGTAGTGTCTGGAAGTGGACATTTGGAGTGCTTTGATTCCTTTGGTGAAAAAGGGAATGTCTACCCATAAAAACTAGACAGAAGCATTCTCAGAAACTTGTTTGTGATGTGTGTACCCAGCCAAAGGAGTTGAACATTTCTATTGATAGAGCAGTTTTGAAACACTCTTGTTGTGGAAAATGCAGGTGGATATTTGGATAGCTTGGAGGATTTCGTTGGAAGCGCGAATTCAAATAAAAGGTAGACAGCAGCATTCTCAGAAATTTCTTTCTGATGTCTGCATTCAACTCATAGAGTTGAAGATTCCCTTTCATAGAGCAGGTTTGAAACACTCGTTCTGGAGTATCTGGATGTGGACATTTGGAGCGTTTGATGCCTACGGTGGAAAAGTAAATATCTTCCCATAAAAACGAGACAGAAGGATTCTGAGAAACAAGTTTGTGATGTGTGTACTCAGCTAACAGAGTGGAACCTTTCTTTTTACAGAGCAGCTTTGAAACTCTATTTTTGTGGATTCTGCAAATGGATATTTAGATTGCTTTAACGATATCGTTGGAAAAGGGAATATCGTCATACAAAATCTAGACAGAAGCATTCTCACAAACTTCTTTGTGATGTGTGTCCTCAACTAACAGAGTTGAACCTTTCTTTTGATGCAGCAGTTTGGAAACACTCTTTTTGTAGAAACTGTAAGTGGATATTTGGATAGCTCTAACGATTTCGTTGGAAACGGGAATATCATCATCTAAAATCTAGACAGAAGCACTATTAGAAACTACTTGGTGATATCTGCATTCAAGTCACAGAGTTGAACATTCCCTTACTTTGAGCACGATTGAAACACTCTTTTGGAAGAATCTGGAAGTGGACATTTGGAGCGCTTTGATGCCTTTGGTGAAAAGGAAACGTCTTCCAATAAAAGCCAGACAGAAGCATTCTCAGAAACTTGATCGTGATGTGTGTACTCAACTAAAAGAGTTGAACCTTTCTATTGATAGAGCAGTTTTGAAACACTCTTTTTGTGGATTCTGCAAGTGGATATTTGGATTGCTTTGAGGATTTTGTTGGAAGCGGGAATTCGTATAAACACTAGACAGCAGCATTCCCAGAAATTTCTTTTGGATATTTCCATTCAACTCATAGAGATGAACATGGCCTTTCATATTGAAACACTCTTTTTGTAGTTTGTGGAAGTGGACATTTCGATCGCCTTGACGCCTACGGTGAAAAAGGAAATATCTTCCCATAAAAAATAGACAGAAGCATTCTCAGAAACTTGTTGGTGATATGTGTCCTCAACTAACAGAGTTGAACTTTGCCATTGATAGAGAGCAGTTTTGAAACACTCTTTTTGTGGAAAATGCAGGTGGATATTTGGATAGCTTGGAGGATTTCGTTGGAAGCGGGAATTCAAATAAAAGGTAGACAGCAGCATTCTCAGAAATTTCTTTCTGATGTCTGCATTCAACACATAGAGTTGAAGATTCCCTTTCATAGAGCAGGTTTGAAACACTCTTTCTGGAGTATCTGGATGTGGACATTTGGAGCGCTTTGATGCCTACGGTGAAAAAGTAAATATCTTCCCATAAAAACGAGACAGAAGGATTCTGAGAAACAAGTTTGTGATGTGTGTACTCAGCTAACAGAGTGGAACCTCTCTTTTGATGCAGCAGTTTGGAAACACTCTTTTTGTAGAAACTGTAAGTGGATATTTGGATAGCTCTAATGATTTCGTTGGAAACGGGAATATCATCATCTAAAATCTAGACAGAAGCCCTCTCAGGAAACTACTTTGTGATATCTGCATTCAAGTCACAGAGTTGAACATTCACTTTCTTAGAGCACGTTTGAAACACTCTTTTTGTAGTGTCTGGAATTGGACATTTGGAGCGCTTTGATGCCTTTGGTGAAAAAGGGAACGTCTTCCCATAAAAACTAGACAGAAGCATTCTCAGAAACTTGTTTGTGATGTGTGTACCCAGCCAAAGGAGTTGAACATTTCTATTGATAGAGCAGTTTTGAAACACTCTTTTTGTGGAAAATGCAGGTGGATATTTGGATAGCTTGGAGGATTTCGTTGGAAGCGGGAATTCAAACAAAAGGTAGACAGCAGCATTCTCAGAAATTTCTTTCTGATGTCTGCATTCAACTCATAGAGTTGAAGATTCCCTTTCATAGAGCAGGTTTGAAACACTCTTTCTGGAGTATCTGGATGTGGACATTTGGAGCGCTTTGATGCCTACGGTGAAAAAGTAAATATCTTCCCATAAAAACGAGACAGAAGGATTCTGAGAGACAAGTTTGTGATGTGTGTACTCAGCTAACAGAGTGGAACCTTTCTTTTTACAGAGCAGCTTTGAAACTCTATTTTTGTGGATTCTGCAAATGGATATTTAGATTGCTTTAACGATATCGTTGGAAAAGGGAATATCGTCATACAAAATGCTGGACAGAAGCATTCTCACAAACTTCTTTGTGACGTGTGTCCTCAACTAACAGAGTTGAACCTTTCTTTTGATGCAGCAGTTTGGAAACACTGTTTTTGTAGCAACTGTAAGTGGATATTTGGATAGCTCTAACGATTTCGTTGGAAACGGGAATATCATCATCTAAAATCTAGACAGAAGCACTATTAGAAACTACTTGGTGATATCTGCATTCAAGTCACAGAGTAGAACATTCCCTTACTTCGAGCACGTTTGAAACACTCTTTTGGAAGAATCTGGAAGTGGACATTTGGAGCGCTTTGATGCCTTTGGTGAAAAGGAAACGTCTTCCAATAAAAGCCAGACAGAAGCATTCTCAGAAACTTGTTTGTGATGTGTGTACTCAACTAAAAGAGTTGAACCTTTCTATTGATAGAGCAGTTTTGAAACACTCTTTTTGTGGATTCTGCAAGTGGATATTTGGATTGCTTTGAGGATTTCGTTGGAAGCGGGAATTCGTATAAACACTAGACAGCAGCATTCCCAGAAATTTCTTTCGGATATTTCCATTCAACTCATAGAGATGAACATGGCCTTTCATAGAGCAGGTTTGAAACACTCTTTTTGTAGTTTGTGGAAGTGGACATTTCGATCGCCTTGACGCCTACGGTGAAAAAGGAAATATCTTCCCATAAAAATAGACAGAAGCATTCTCAGAAACTTGTTGGTGATATGTGTCCTCAACTAACAGAGTTGAACTTTGCCATTGATAGAGAGCAGTTTTGAAACACTCTTTTTGTGGAATCTGCAAGTGGATATTTGGATAGCTTGGAGGATTTCGTTGGAAGCGGGAATTCAAATAAAAGGTAGACAGCAGCATTCTCAGAAATTTCTTTGTGATGTCTGCATTCAACTCATAGAGTTGAAGATTCCCTTTCATAGAGCAGGTTTGAAACACTCGTTCTGGAGTATCTGGATGTGGACATTTGGAGCGCTTTGATGCCTACGGTGGAAAAGTAAATATCTTCCCATAAAAACGAGACAGAAGGATTCTGAGAAACAAGTTTGTGATGTGTGTACTCAGCTAACAGAGTGGAACCTCTCTTCTGATGCAGCAGTTTGGAAACACTCTTTTTGTAGAAACTGTAAGTGGATATTTGGATAGCTCTAATGATTTCGTTGGAAATGGGAATATCATCAACTAAAATCTAGACAGAAGCCCTCTCAGAAACTACTTTGTGATATCTGCATTCAAGTCACAGAGTTGAACATTCGCTTTCTTAGAGCACGTTGGAAACACTCTTTTTATAGTGTCTGGAAGTGGACATTTGGAGCGCTTTGATGCCTTTGGTGAAAAAGGGAATGTCTTCCCATAAAAACTAGACAGAAGCATTCTCAGAAACTTGTTTGTGATGTGTGTACCCAGCCAAAGGAGTTGAACATTTCTATTGATAGAGCAGTTTTGAAACACTCTTTTTGTGGAAAATGCAGGTGGATATTTGGATAGCTTGGAGGATTTCGTTGGAAGCGGGAATTCAAATAAAAGGTAGACAGCAGCATTCTCAGAAATTTCTTTCTGATGTCTGCATTCAACTCATAGAGTTGAAGATTCCCTTTCATAGAGCAGGTTTGAAACACTCTTTCTGGAGTATCTGGATGTGGACATTTGGAGCGCTTTGATGCCTACGGTGAAAAAGTAAATATCTTCCCATAAAAACGAGACAGAAGGATTCTCAGAAACAAGTTTGTGATGTGTGTACTCAGCTAACAGAGTGGAACCTTTCTTTTTACAGAGCAGCTTTGAAACCCTATTTTTGTGGATTCTGCAAATGGATATTTAGATTGCTTTAATGATATCGCTGGAAAAGGGAATATGGTCATACAAAATCTAGACAGAAGCATTCTCACAAACTTCTTTGTGATGTGTGTCCTCAACTAACAGAGTTGAACCTTTCTTTTGATGCAGCAATTTGGAAACACCCTTTTGGTAGAAACTGTAACTGGATATTTGGATAGCTCTAACGATTTCGTTGGAAACGGGAATATCATCATCAAAAGGTAGACAGAAGCACTATTAGAAACTACTTGGTGATATCTGCATTCAAGTCACAGAGTTGAACATTCCCTTACTTTGAGCACGTTTCAAACACTCTTTTGGAAGAATCTGGAAGTGGACATTTGGAGCGCTTTGATGCCTTTGGTGAAAAGGAAACGTCTTCCAATAAAAGCCAGACAGAAGCATTCTCAGAAACTTGTTTGTGATGTGTGTACTCAACTAAAAGAGTTGAACCTTTCTATTGATAGAGCAGTTTTGTAACACTCTTTTTGTGGATTCTGCAAGTGGATATTTGGATTGCTTTGAGGATTTCGTTGGAAGCGGGAATTCGTATAAAAACTAGACAGCCAGCATTCCCAGAAATTTCTTTCGGATATTTCCATTCAACTCATAGAGATGAACATGGCCTTTCATAGAGCAGGTTTGAAACACTCTTTTTGTAGTTTGTGGAAGTGGACATTTCGATCGCCTTGACGCCTACGGTGAAAAAGGAAATATCTTCCCATAAAAAATAGACAGAAGCATTCTCAGAAACTTGTTGGTGATATGTGTCCTCAACTAACAGAGTTGAACTTTGCCATTGATAGAGAGCAGTTTTGAAACACTCTGTTTGTGGAATCTGCAAGTGGATATTTGGATAGCTTGGAGGATTTCGTTGGAAGCGGGAATTCAAATAAAAGGTAGACAGCAGCATTCTCAGAAATTTCCTTCTGATGTCTGCATTCAACTCATAGAGTTGAAGATTCCCTTTCATAGAGCAGGTTTGAAACACTCTTTCTGGAGTATCTGGATGTGGACATTTGGAGCGCTTTGATGCCTACGGTGAAAAAGTAAATATCTTCCCAGAAAAACGAGACAGAAGGATTCTGAGAAACAAGTTTGTGATGTGTGTACTCAGCTAACAGAGTGGAACCTCTCTTTTGATGCAGCAGTTTGGAAACACTCTTTTTGTAGAAACTGTAAGTGGATATTTGGATAGCTCTAATGATTTCGTTGGAAACGGGAATATCATCATCTAAAATCTAGACAGAAGCCCTCTCAGAAACTACTTTGTGATATCTGCATTCAAGTCACAGAGTTGAACATTCGCTTTCTTAGAGCACGTTGGAAACACTCTTTTTGTAGTGTCTGGAAGTGGACATTTGGAGTGCTTTGATGCCTTTGGTGAAAAAGGGAATGTCTTCCCATAAAAACTAGACAGAAGCATTCTCAGAAACTTGTCTGCGATGTGTGTACCCAGCTAAAGGAGTTGAACATTTCTATTGATAGAGCAGTTTTGAAACACTCTTTTTGTGAAAAATGCAAGTGGATATTTGGATAGCTTGGAGGATTTCGTTGGAAGCGGGAATTCAAATAAAAGGTAGACAGCAGCATTCTCAGAAAATTTCTTTCTGATGTCTGCATTCAACTCATAGAGTTGAAGATTCCCTTTCATAGAGCAGGTTTGAAACACTCTTTCTGGAGTATCTGGATGTGGACATTTGGAGCGCTTTGATGCCTACGGTGAAAAAGTAAATATCTTCCCATAAAAACGAGACAGAAGGATTCTGAGAAACAAGTTTGTGATGTGTGTACTCAGCTAACAGAGTGGAACCTTTCTTTTTACAGAGCAGCTTTGAAACTCTATTTTTGTGGATTCTGCAAATTGATATTTAGATTGCTTTAACGATATCGTTGGAAAAGGGAATATCGTCATACAAAATCTAGACAGAAGCATTCTCACAAACTTCTTTGTGATGTGTGTCCTCAACTAACAGAGTTGAACCTTTCTTTTGATGCAGCAGTTTGGAAACACTCTTTTTGTAGAAACTAAGTGGATATTTGGATAGCTCTAACGATTTCGTTGGAAACGGGAATATCATCATCTAAAATCTAGACAGAAGCACTATTAGAAACTACTTGGTGATATCTGCATTCAAGTCACAGAGTTGAACATTCCCTTACTTTGAGCACGTTTCAAACACTCTTTTGGAAGAATCTGGAAGTGGACATTTGGAGCGCTTTGATGCCTTTGGTGAAAAGGAAACGTCTTCCAATAAAAGCCAGACAGAAGCATTCTCAGAAACTTGTTTGTGATGTGTGTACTCAACTAAAAGAGTTGAACCTTTCTATTGATAGAGCAGTTTTGAAACACTCTTTTTGTGGATTCTGCAAGTGGATATTTGGATTGCTTTGAGGATTTCGTTGGAAGCGGGAATTCGTATAAAAACTAGACAGCAAGCATTCCCAGAAATTTCTTTCGGATATTTCCATTCAACTCATAGAGATGAACATCGCCTTTCATAGAGCAGGTTTGAAACACTCTTTTTGTAGTTTGTGGAAGTGGACATTTCGATCGCCTTGACGCCTATGGTGAAAAAGGAAATATCTTCCCATAAAAAATAGACAGAAGCATTCTCAGAAACTTGTTGGTGATATGTGTTCTCAACTAACAGAGTTGAACTTTGCCATTGATAGAGAGCAGTTTTGAAACACTCTTTTTGTGGAATCTGCAAGTGGATATTTGGATAGCTTGGAGGATTTCGTTGGAAGCGGGAATTCAAATAAAAGGTAGACAGCAGCATTCTCAGAAATTTCTTTCTGATGTCTGCATTCAACTCATAGAGTTGAAGATTCCCTTTCATAGAGCAGGTTTGAAACACTCTTTCTGGAGTATCTGGATGTGGACATTTGGAGCGCTTTGATGCCTACGGTGGAAAAGTAAATATCTTCCCATAAAAACGAGACAGAAGGATTCTCAGAAACAAGTTTGTGATGTGTGTACTCAGCTAACAGAGTGGAACCTCTCTTCTGATGCAGAAGTTTGGAAACACTCTTTTTGTAGAAACTGTAAGTGGATATTTGGATAGCTCTAATGATTTCGTTGGAAACGGGAATATCATCATCTAAAATCTAGACAGAAGCCCTCTCAGAAACTACTTTGTGATATCTGCATTCAAGTCACAGAGTTGAACATTCGCTTTCTTAGAGCACGTTTGAAACACTCTTTTTGTAGTGTCTGGAAGTGGACATTTGGAGCGCTTTGATTCCTTTTGTGAAAAAGGGAATGTCTACCCATAAAAACTAGACAGAAGCATTCTCAGAAACTTGTTTGTGATGTGTGTACCCAGCCAAAGGAGTTGAACATTTCTATTGATAGAGCAGTTTTGAAACACTCTTGTTGTGGAAAATGCAGGTGGATATTTGGATAGCTTGGAGGATTTCGTTGGAAGCGGGAATTCAAATAAAAGGTAGACAGCAGCATTCTCAGAAATTTCTTTCTGATGTCTGCATTCAACTCATAGAGTTGAAGATTCCCTTTCCTAGAGCAGGTTTGAAACACTCTTTCTGGAGTATCTGGATGTGGACATTTGGAGCGCTTTGATGCCTACGGTGAAAAAGTAAATATCTTCCCATAAAAACGAGACAGAAGGATTCTCAGAAACAAGTTTGTGATGTGTATACTCAGCTAACAGAGTGGAACCTTTCTTTTTACAGAGCAGCTTTGAAACTCTATTTTTGTGGATTCTGCAAATTGATATTTAGATTGCTTTAACGATATCGTTGGAAAAGGGAATATCGTCATACAAAATCTAGACAGAAGCATTCTCAGAAACTTCTTTGTGATGTGTGTCCTCAACTAACAGAGTTGAACCTTTCTTTTGATGCAGCAGTTTGGAAACACTCTTTTTGTAGAAACTGTAAGTGGATATTTGGATAGCTCTAACGATTTCATTTGAAACGGGAATATCATCATCTAAAATCTAGACAGAAGCAGTATTAGCAACTACTTGGTGATATCTGCATTCAAGTCAGAGAGTAGAACGTTACCATAGTTTGAGCACGTTTGAAACACTCTTTTTGTAGAATCTGGAATTGGACATTTGGAGCGCTTTGATGCCATTGGTGAAAAGGAAACGTCTTCCCATAAAAGCTAGACAGAAGCATTCTCAGAAACTTGTTTGTGATGTGTGTACTCAACTAAAAGAGTGGAACCTTTCTATTGATAGAGCAGTTTTGAAACACTCTTTTTGTGGATTCTGCAAGTGGATATTTGGATTGCTTTGAGGATTTCGTTGGAAGCGGGAATTCGTATAAAAACTAGACAGCAGCATTCCCAGAAATTTCTTTCGGATATTTCCATTCAACTCATAGAGATGAACATGGCCTTTCATAGAGCAGGTTTGAAACACTCTTTTTGTAGTTTGTGGAAGTGGACATTTCGATCGCCTTGACGCCTACGGTGAAAAAGGAAATATCTTCCCATAAAAAATAGACAGAAGCATTCTCAGAAACTTGTTGGTGATATGTGTCCTCAACTAACAGAGTTGAACTTTGCCATTGATAGAGAGCAGTTTTGAAACACTCTTTTTGTGGAATCTGCAAGTGGATATTTGGATAGCTTGGAGGATTTCGTTGGAAGCGGGAATTCAAATAAAAGGTAGACAGCAGCATTCTCAGAAATTTCTTTCTGATGTCTGCATTCAACTCATAGAGTTGAAGATTCCCTTTCATAGAGCAGGTTTGAAACACTCTTTCTGGAGTATCTGGATGTGGACATTTGGAGCGCTTTGATGCCTACGGTGAAAAAGTAAATATCTTCCCATAGAAACGAGACAGAAGGATTCTGAGAAACAAGTTTGTGATGTGTGTACTCAGCTAACAGAGTGGAACCTCTCTTTTG
This sequence comes from Homo sapiens, assembly GCF_000001405.40. Classification (NCBI taxonomy): domain Eukaryota; kingdom Metazoa; phylum Chordata; class Mammalia; order Primates; family Hominidae; genus Homo; species Homo sapiens. The sequence continues at coordinate 18,050,192 of NC_000014.9, forward strand.
ATGCAGCAGTTTGGAAACACTCTTTTTGTAGAAACTGTAAGTGGATATTTGGATAGCTCTAATGATTTCGTTGGAAACGGGAATATCATCATCTAAAATCTAGACAGAAGTCCTCTCAGAAACTACTTTGTGATATCTGCATTCAAGTCACAGAGTTGAACATTCGCTTTCTTAGAGCACGTTGGAAACACTCTTTTTGTAGTGTCTGGAAGTGGACATTTGGAGCGCTTTGATGCCTTTGGTGAAAAAGGGAATGTCTTCCCATAAAAACTAGACAGAAGGATTCTCAGAAACTTGTTTGTGATGTGTGTACCCAGCTAAAGGAGTTGAACATTTCTATTGATAGAGCAGTTTTGAAACACTCTTTTTGTGGAAAATGCAAGTGGATATTTGGATAGGTTGGAGGATTTCGTTGGAAGCGGGAATTCAAATAAAAGGTAGACAGCAGCATTCTCAGAAATTTCTTTCTGATGTCTGCATTCAACTCATAGAGTTGAAGATTCCCTTTCATAGAGCAGGTTTGAAACACTCTTTCTGGAGTATCTGGATGTGGACATTTGGAGCGCTTTGATGCCTACGGTGAAAAAGTAAATATCTTCCCATAAAAACGAGACAGAAGGATTCTGAGAGACAAGTTTGTGATGTGTGTACTCAGCTAACAGAGTGGAACCTTTCTTTTTACAGAGCAGCTTTGAAACTCTATTTTTGTGGATTCTGCAAATGGATATTTAGATTGCTTTAATGATATCGCTGGAAAAGGGAATATGGTCATACAAAATCTAGACAGAAGCATTCTCACAAACTTCTTTGTGATGTGTGTCCTCAACTAACAGAGTTGAACCTTTCTTTTGATGCAGCAGTTTGGAAACACTCTTTTTGTAGAAACTGTAAGTGGATATTTGGATAGCTCTAACGATTTCGTTGGAAACGGGAATATCATCATCTAAAATCTAGACAGAAGCACTATTAGAAACTACTTGGTGATATCTGCATTCAAGTCACAGAGTTGAACATTCCCTTACGTTGAGCACGTTTGAAACACTCTTTTGGAAGAATCTGGAAGTGGACATTTGGAGCGCTTTGATGCCTTTGGTGAAAAGGAAACGTCTTCCAATAAAAGCCAGACAGAAGCATTCTCAGAAACTTGTTTGTGATGTGTGTACTCAACTAAAAGAGTTGAACCTTTCTATTGATAGAGCAGTTTTGAAACACTCTTTTTGTGGATTCTGCAAGTGGATATTTGGATTGCTTTGAGGATTTCGTTGGAAGCGGGAATTCGTATAAAAACTAGACAGCAGCATTCCCAGAAATTTCTTTCGGATATTTCCATTCGACTCATAGAGATGAACATGGCCTTTCATAGCAGCAGGTTTGAAACACTCTTTTTGTAGTTTGTGGAAGTGGACATTTCGATCGCCTTGACGCCTACGGTGAAAAAGGAAATATCTTCCCATAAAAAATAGACAGAAGCATTCTCAGAAACTTGTTTGTGATGTGTGTACCCAGCCAAAGGAGTTGAACATTTCTATTGATAGAGCAGTTTTGAAACACTCTTGTTGTGGAAAATGCAGGTGGATATTTGGATAGCTTGGAGGATTTCGTTGTAAGCGGGAATTCAAATAAAAGGTAGACAGCAGCATTCTCAGAAATTTCTTTCTGATGTCTGCATTCAACTCATAGAGTTGAACATTCCCTTTCATAGAGCAGGTTTGAAACAGTCTTTCTGGAGTATCTGGATGTGGACATTTGGAGCGCTTTGATGCCTACGGTGAAAAAGTAAATATCTTCCCATAAAAACGAGACAGAAGGATTCTGAGAAACAAGTTTGTGATGTGTGTACTCAGCTAACAGAGTGGAACCTCTCTTTTGATGCAGCAGTTTGGAAACACTCTTTTTGTAGAAACTGTAATTGGATATTTGGATAGCTCTAATGATTTCGTTGGAAACGGGAATATCATCATCTAAAATCTAGACAGAAGCCCTCTCAGAAACTACTTTGTGATATCTGCATTCAAGTCACAGAGTTGAACATTCGCTTTCTTAGGGCACGTTGGAAACACTCTTTTTGTAGTGTCTGGAAGTGGACATTTGGAGCGCTTTGATGCCTTTGGTGAAAAAGGGAACGTCTTCCCATAAAAACTAGACAGAAGCATTCTCAGAAACTTGTTTGTGATGTGTGTACCCAGCTAAAGGAGTTGAACATTTCTATTGATAGAGCAGTTTTGAAACACTCTTTTTGTGGAAAATGCAAGTGGATATTTGGATAGCTTGGAGGATTTCGTTGGAAGCGGGAATTCAAATAAAAGGTAGACAGCAGGATTCTCAGAAACAAGTTTGTGATGTGTGAACTCAGCTAACAGAGTGGAACCTTTCTTTTTACAGAGCAGCTTTGAAACTCTATTTTTGTGGATTCTGCAAATTGATATTTAGATTGCTTTAACGATATCGTTGGAAAAGGGAATATGGTCATACAAAATCTAGACAGAAGCATTCTCACAAACTTCTTTGTGATGTGTGTCCTCAACTAACAGAGTTGAACCTTTCTTTTGATGCAGCAATTTGGAAACACCCTTTTGGTAGAAACTGTAACTGGACATTTGGATAGCTCTAACGATTTCGTTGGAAACGGGAATATCATCATCTAAAATCTAGACAGAAGCACTATTAGAAACTACTTGGTGATATCTGCATTCAAGTCACAGAGTAGAACATTCCCTTACTTCGAGCACGTTTGAAACACTCTTTTGGAAGAATCTGGAAGTGGACATTTGGAGCGCTTTGATGCCTTTGGTGAAAAGGAAACGTCTTCCAATAAAAGCCAGACAGAAGCATTCTCAGAAACTTGTTTGTGATGTGTGTACCCAGCCAAAGGAGTTGAACATTTCTATTGATAGAGCAGTTTTGAAACACTCTTGTTTTGGAAAATGCAGGTGGATATTTGGATAGCTTGGAGGATTTCGTTGGAAGCGGGAATTCAAATAAAAGGTAGACAGCAGCATTCCCAGAAATTTCTTTCGGATATTTCCATTCGACTCATAGAGATGAACATGGCCTTTCATAGAGCAGGTTTGAAACACTCTTTTTGTAGTTTGTGGAAGTGGACATTTCGATCGCCTTGACGCCTACGGTGAAAAAGGAAATATCTTCCCATAAAAAATAGACAGAAGCATTCTCAGAAACTTGTTGGTGATATGTGTCCTCAACTAACAGAGTTGAACTTTGCCATTGATAGAGAGCAGTTTTGAAACACTCTTTTTGTGGAATCTGCAAGTGGATATTTGGATAGCTTGGAGGATTTCGTTGGAAGCGGGAATTCAAATAAAAGGTAGACAGCAGCATTCTCAGAAATTTCTTTCTGATCTCTGCATTCAACTCATAGAGTTGAAGATTCCCTTTCATAGAGCAGGTTTGAAACACTCTTTCTGGAGTATCTGGATGTGGACATTTGGAGCGCTTTGATGCCTACGGTGAAAAAGTAAATATCTTCCCATAAAAACGAGACAGAAGGATTCTGAGAAACAAGTTTGTGATGTGTGTACTCAGCTAACAGAGTGGAACCTCTCTTTTGATGCAGCAGTTTGCAAACACTCTTTTTGTAGAAACTGTAAGTGGATATTTGGATAGCTCTAATGATTTCGTTGGAAACGGGAATATCATCATCTAAAATCTAGACAGAAGCACTCTCAGAAACTACTGTGTGATATCTGCATTCAAGTCACAGAGTTGAACATTCGCTTTCTTAGAGCACGTTTGAAACACTCTTTTTGTAGTGTCTGGAAGTGGACATTTGGAGCGCTTTGATGCCTTTGGTGAAAAAGGGAATGTCTACCCATAAAAACTAGACAGAAGCATTCTCAGAAACTTGTTTGTGATGTGTGTACCCAGCCAAAGGAGTTGAACATTTCTATTGATAGAGCAGTTTTGAAACACTCTTGTTGTGGAAAATGCAGGTGGATATTTGGATAGCTTGGAGGATTTCGTTGGAAGCGGGAATTCAAATAAAAGGTTGACAGCGGCATTCTCAGAAATTTCTTTCTGATGTCTGCATTCAACTCATAGAGTTGAAGATTCCCTTTCATAGAGCAGGTTTGAAACACTCTTTCTGGAGTATCTGGATGTGGACATTTGGAGCGCTTTGATGCCTACGGTGAAAAAGTAAATATCTTCCCATAAAAACGAGACAGAAGGATTCTGAGAAACAAGTTTGTGATGTGTGTACTCAGCTAACAGAGTGGAACCTTTCTTTTTACAGAGCAGCTTTGAAACTCTATTTTTGTGGATTCTGCAAATGGATATTTAGATTGCTTTAATGATATCGCTGGAAAAGGGAATATGGTCATACAAAATCTAGACAGAAGCACTCTCACAAACTTCTTTGTGATGTGTGTCCTCAACTAACAGAGTTGAACCTTTCTTTTGATGCAGCAATTTGGAAACACCCTTTTGGTAGAAACTGTAACTGGATATTTGGATAGCTCTAACGATTTCGTTGGAAACGGGAATATCATCATCTAAAATGTAGACAGAAGCACTATTAGAAACTACTTGGTGATATCTGCATTCAAGTCACAGAGTTGAACATTCCCTTACTTCGAGCACGTTTGAAACACTCTTTTGGAAGAATCTGGAAGTGGACATTTGGAGCGCTTTGATGCCTTTGGTGAAAAGGAAACGTCTTCCAATAAAAGCCAGACAGAAGCATTCTCAGAAACTTGTTCGTGATGTGTGTACTCAACTAAAAGAGTTGAACCTTTCTATTGATAGAGCAGTTTTGAAACACTCTTTTTGTGGATTCTGCAAGTGGATATTTGGATTGCTTTGAGGATTTCGTTGGAAGCGGGAATTCATATAAAAACTAGACAGCAGCATTCCCAGAAATTTCTTTCGGATATTTCCATTCAACTCATAGAGATGAACATGGCCTTTCATAGAGCAGGTTTGAAACACTCTTTTTGTAGTTTGTGGAAGTGGACATTTCGATCGCCTTGACGGCTACGGTGAAAAAGGAAATATCTTCCCATAAAAAATAGACAGAAGCATTCTCAGAAACTTGTTGGTGATATGTGTCCTCAACTAACAGAGTTGAACTTTGCCATTGATAGAGAGCAGTTTTGAAACACTCTTTTTGTGGAATCTGCAAGTGGATATTTGGATAGCTTGGAGGATTTCGTTGGAAGCGGGAATTCAAATAAAAGGTAGACAGCAGGATTCTGAGAAACAAGTTTGTGATGTGTGTACTCAGCTAACAGAGTGGAACCTCTCTTTTGATGCAGCAGTTTGGAAACACTCTTTTTGTAGAAACTGTAAGTGGATATTTGGATAGCTCTAATGATTTCGTTGGAAACGGGAATATCATCATCTAAAATCTAGACAGAAGCCCTCTCAGAAACTACTTTGTGATATCTGCATTCAAGTCACAGAGTTGAACATTCGCTTTCTTAGAGCACGTTTGAAACACTCTTTTTGTAGTGTCTGGAAGTGGACATTTGGAGCGCTTTGATGCCTTTGTGAAAAAGGGAACGTCTTCCCATAAAAACTAGACAGAAGCATTCTCAGAAACCTGTTTGTGATGTGTGTACCCAGCCAAAGGAGTTGAACATTTCTATTGATAGAGCAGTTTTGAAACGCTCTTTTTGTGGAAAATGCAGGTGGATATTTGGATAGCTTGGAGGATTTCGTTGGAAGCGGGAATTCAAATAAAAGGTAGACAGCAGCATTCTCAGAAATTTCTTTCTGATGTCTGCATTCAACTCATAGAGTTGAAGATTCCCTTTCATAGAGCAGGTTTGAAACACTCTTTCTGGAGTATCTGGATGTGGACATTTGGAGCGCTTTGATGCCTACGGTGAAAAAGTAAATATCTTCCCATAAAAACGAGACAGAAGGATTCTGAGAGACAAGTTTGTGATGTGTGTACTCAGCTAACAGAGTGGAACCTTTCTTTTTACAGAGCAGCTTTGAAACTCTATTTTTGTGGATTCTGCAAATGGATATTTAGATTGCTTTAATGATATCGTTGGAAAAGGGAATATGGTCATACAAAATCTAGACAGGATAAGCATTCTCACAAACTTCTTTGTGATGTGTGTCCTCAACTAACAGAGTTGAACCTTTCTTTTGATGCAGCAATTTGGAAACACCCTTTTGGTAGAAACTGTAACTGGATATTTGGATAGCTCTAACGATTTCGTTGGAAACGGGAATATCATCATCTAAAATCTAGACAGAAGCACTATTAGAAACTACTTGGTGATATCTGCATTCAAGTCACAGAGTTGAACATTCCCTTACTTCGACCACGTTTGAAACACTCTTTTGGAAGAATCTGGAAGTGGACATTTGGAGCGCTTTGATGCCTTTGGTGAAAAGGAAACGTCTTCCAATAAAAGCCAGACAGAAGCATTCTCAGAAACTTGTTCGTGATGTGTGTACTCAACTAAAAGAGTTGAACCTTTCTATTGATAGAGCAGTTTTGAAACACTCTTTTTGTGGATTCTGCAAGTGGATATTTGGATTGCTTTGAGGATTTCCGTTGGAAGCGGGAATTCGTATAAACACTAGACAGCAGCATTCCCAGAAATTTCTTTCGGATATTTCCATTCAACTCATAGAGATGAACATGGCTTTTCATAGAGCAGGTTTGAAACACTCTTTTTGTAGTTTGTGGAAGTGGACATTTCGATCGCCTTGACGCCTACGCTGAAAAAGGAAATATCTTCCCATAAAAAATAGACAGAAGCATTCTCAGAAACTTGTTGGTGATATGTGTCCTCAACTAACAGAGTTGAACTTTGCCATTGATAGAGAGCAGTTTTGAAACACTCTTTTTGTGGAATCTGCAAGTGGATATTTGGATAGCTTGGAGGATTTCGTTGGAAGCGGGAATTCAAATAAAGGGTAGACAGCAGGATTCTGAGAAACAAGTTTGTGATGTGTGTACTCAGCTAACAGAGTGGAACCTCTCTTTTGATGCAGCAGTTTGGAAACACTCTTTTTGTAGAAACTGTAAGTGGATATTTGGATAGCTCTAATGATTTCGTTGGAAACGGGAATATCATCATCTAAAATCTAGACAGAAGCCCTCTCAGAAACTACTTTGTGATATCTGCATTCAAGTCACAGAGTTGAACATTCGCTTTCTTAGAGCACGTTTGAAACACTCTTTTTGTAGTGTCTGGAAGTGGACATTTGGAGCGCTTTGATGACTTTGGTGAAAAAGGGAACGTCTTCCCATAAAAACTAGACAGAAGCATTCTCAGAAACTTGTTTGTGATGTGTGTACCCAGCCAAAGGAGTTGAACATTTCTATTGATAGAGCAGTTTTCAAACACTCTTTTTGTGGAAAATGCAGGTGGATATTTGGATAGCTTGGAGGATTTCGTTGGAAGCGGGAATTCAAATAAAAGGTAGACAGCAGCATTCTCAGAAATTTCTTTCTGATGTCTGCATTCAACTCATAGCAGTTGAAGATTCCCTTTCATAGAGCAGGTTTGAAACACTCTTTCTGGAGTATCTGGATGTGGACATTTGGAGCGCTTTGATGCCTACGGTGAAAAAGTAAATATCTTCCCATAAAAACGAGACAGAAGGATTCTCAGAAACAAGTTTGTGATGTGTGTACTCAGCTAAAAGAGTGGAACCTTTCTTTTTACAGAGCAGCTTTGAAACTCTATTTTTGTGGATTCTGCAAATTGATATTTAGATTGCTTTAACGATATCGTTGGAAAAGGGAATATCGTCATACAAAATCTAGACAGAAGCATTCTCACAAACTTCTTTGTGATGTGTGTCCTCAACTAACAGAGTTGAACCTTTCTTTTGATGCAGCAGTTTGGAAACACTCTTTTTGTAGAAACTGTAAGTGGACATTTGGATAGCTCTAACGATTTCGTTGGAAACGGGAATATCATCATCTAAAATCTAGACAGAAGCATTCTCAGAAACTTGTTGGTGATGTGTGTACTCAACTAAAAGAGTTGAACCTTTCTATTGATAGAGCAGTTTTGAAACACTCTTTTTGTGGATTCTGCAAGTGGATATTTGGATTGCTTTGAGGATTTCGTTGGAAGCGGGAATTCATATAAACACTAGACAGCAGCATTCCCAGAAATTTCTTTCGGATATTTCCATTCAACTCATAGAGATGAACATCGCCTTTCATAGAGCAGGTTTGAAACACTCTTTTTGTAGTTTGTGGAAGTGGACATTTCGATCGCCTTGACGCCTACGGTGAAAAAGGAAATATCTTCCCATAAAAAATAGACAGAAGCATTCTCAGAAACTTGTTGGTGATATGTGTCCTCAACTAACAGAGTTGAACTTTGCCATTGATAGAGAGCAGTTTTGAAACACTCTTTTTGTGGAATCTGCAAGTGGATATTTGGATAGCTTGGAGGATTTCGTTGGAAGCGGGAATTCAAATAAAAGGTAGACAGCAGCATTCTCAGGAATTTCTTTCTGATGTCTGCATTCAACTCATAGAGTTGAAGATTCCCTTTCATAGAGCAGGTTTGAAACACTCTTTCTGGAGTATCTGGATGTGGACATTTGGAGCGCTTTGATGCCTACGGTGAAAAAGTAAATCTCTTCCCATAAAAACGAGACAGAGGATTCTGAGAAACAAGTTTGTGATGTGTGTACTCAGCTAACAGAGTGGAACCTCTCTTTTGATGCAGCAGTTTGGAAACACTCTTTTTGTAGAAACTGTAAGTGGATATTTGGATAGCTCTAATGATTTCGTTGGAAACGGGAATATCATCATCTAAAATCTAGACAGAAGCCCTCTCAGAAACTACTTTGTGATATCTGCATTCAAGTCACAGAGTTGAACATTCGCTTTCTTAGAGCACGTTTGAAACACTCTTTTTGTAGTGTCTGGAAGTGGACATTTGGAGCGCTTTGATGCCTTTGGTGAAAAAGGGAACGTCTTCCCATAAAAACTAGACAGAAGCATTCTCAGAAACTTGTTTGTGATGTGTGTACCCAGCCAAAGGAGTTGAACATTTCTATTGATAGAGCAGTTTTGAAACACTCTTTTTGTGGAAAATGCAAGTGGATATTTGGATAGCTTGGAGGTTTTCGTTGGAAGCGGGAATTCAAATAAAAGGTAGACAGCAGCATTCTCAGAAATTTCTTTCTGATGTCTGCATTCAGCTCATAGAGTTGAAGATTCCCTTTCATAGAGCAGGTTTGAAACACTCTTTCTGGAGTATCTGGTTGTGGACATTTGGAGCGCTTTGATGCCTACGGTGAAAAAGTAAATATCTTCCCATAAAAACGAGACAGAAGGATTCTGAGAAACAAGTTTGTGATGTGTGTACTCAGCTAACAGAGTGGAACCTTTCTTTTTACAGAGCAGCTTTGAAACTCTATTTTTGTGGATTCTGCAAATGGATATTTAGATTGCTTTAATGATATCGCTGGAAAAGGGAATATGGTCATACAAAATCTAGACAGAAGCATTCTCACAAACTTCTTTGTGATGTGTGTCCTCAACTAACAGAGTTGAACCTTTCTTTTGATGCAGCAGTTTGGAAACACTCTTTTTGTAGAAACTGTAAGTGGATATTTGGATAGCTCTAACGATTTCGTTGGAAACGGGAATATCATCATCTAAAATCTAGACAGAAGCACTATTAGAAACTACTTGGTGATATCTGCATTCAAGTCACAGAGTAGAACATTCCCTTACTTCGAGCACGTTTGAAACACTCTTTTGGAAGAATCTGGAAGTGGACATTTGGAGCGCTTTGATGCCTTTGGTGAAAAGGAAACGTCTTCCAATAAAAGCCAGACAGAAGCATTCTCAGAAACTTGTTCGTGATGTGTGTACTCAACTAAAAGAGTTGAACCTTTCTATTGATAGCGCAGTTTTGAAACACTCTTTTTGTGGATTCTGCAAGTGGATATTTGGATTGCTTTGAGGATTTCGTTGGAAGCGGGAATTCATATAAAAACTAGACAGCAGCATTCCCAGAAATTTCTTTCGGATATTTCCATTCAACTCATAGAGATGAACATGGCCTTTCATAGAGCAGGTTTGAAACACTCTTTTTGTAGTTTGTGGAAGTGGACATTTCGATCGCCTTGACGCCTACGGTGAAAAAGGAAATATCTTCCCATAAAAAATAGACAGAAGCATTCTCAGAAACTTGTTGGTGATATGTGTCCTCAACTAACAGAGTTGAACTTTGCGATTGATAGAGAGCAGTTTTGAAACACTCTTTTTGTGGAATCTGCAAGTGGATATTTGGATAGCTTGGAGGATTTCGTTGGAAGCGGGAATTCAAATAAAAGGTAGACAGCAGCATTCTCAGAAATTTCTTTCTGATGTCTGCATTCAACTCATAGAGTTGAAGATTCCCTTTCATAGAGGAGGTTTGAAACACTCTTTCTGGAGTATCTGGACGTGGACATTTGGAGCGCTTTGATGCCTATGGTGAAAAAGTAAATATCTTCCCATAAAAACGAGACAGAAGGATTCTCAGAAACAAGTTTGTGATGTGTGTACTCAGCTAACAGAGTGGAACCTCTCTTTTGATGCAGCAGTTTGGAAATACTCTTTTTGTAGAAACTGTAAGTGGATATTTGGATAGCTCTAATGATTTCGTTGGAAACGGGAATATCATCATCTAAAATCTAGACAGAAGCACTCTCAGAAACTACTTTGTGATATCTGCATTCAAGTCACAGAGTTGAACATTCGCTTTCTTAGAGCACGTTGGAAACACTCTTTTTGTAGTGTCTGGAAGTGGACATTTGGAGCGCTTTGATGCCTTTGGTGAAAAAGGGAATGTCTTCCCATAAAAACTAGACAGAAGCATTCTCAGAAACTTGTTTGTGATGTGTGTACCCAGCTAAAGGAGTTGAACATTTCTATTGATAGAGCAGTTTTGAAACACTCTTTTTGTGGAAAATGCAAGTGGATATTTGGATAGCTTGGAGGATTTCGTTGGAAGCGGGATTTCAAATAAAAGGTAGACAGCAGCATTCTCAGAAATTTCTTTCTGATGTCTGCATTCAACTCATAGAGTTGAAGATTCCCTTTCATAGAGCAGGTTTGAAACACTCTTTCTGGAGTATCTGGATGTGGACATTTGGAGCGCTTTGATGCCTACGGTGAAAAAGTAAATATCTTCCCATAAAAACGAGAGAGAAGGATTCTCAGAAACAAGTTTGCGATGTGTGTACTCAGCTAAAAGAGTGGAACCTTTCTTTTTACAGAGCAGCTTTGAAACTCTATTGTTGTGGATTCTGCAAATTGATATTTAGATTGCTTTAACGATATCGTTGGAAAAGGGAATACCGTCATACAAAATCTAGACAGAAGCATTCTCACAAACTTCTTTGTGATGTGTGTCCTCAACTAACAGAGTTGAACCTTTCTTTTGATGCAGCAATTTGGAAACACCCTTTTGGTAGAAACTGTAAGTGGATATTTGGATAGCTCTAACGATTTCGTTGGAAACGGGAATATCATCATCTAAAATCTAGACAGAAGCACTATTAGAAACTACTTGGTGATATCTGCATTCAAGTCACAGAGTTGAACATTCCCTTACTTTGAGCACGTTTGAAACACTCTTTTGGAAGAATCTGGAAGTGGACATTTGGAGCGCTTTGATGCCTTTGGTGAAAAGGAAACGTCTTCCAATAAAAGCCAGACAGAAGCATTCTCAGAAACTTGTTGGTGATGTATGTACTCAACTAAAAGAGTTGAACCTTTCTATTGATAGAGCAGTTTTGAAACACTCTTTTTGTGGATTCTGCAAGTGGATATTTGGATTGCTTTGAGGATTTCGTTGGAAGCGGGAATTCATATAAAAACAAGACAGCAGCATTCCCAGAAATTTCTTTCGGATATTTCCATTCAACTCATTGAGATGAACATCGCCTTTCATAGAGCAGGTTTGAAACACTCTTTTTGTAGTTTGTGGAAGTGGACATTTCGATCGCCTTGACGCCTACAGTGAAAAAGGAAATATCTTCCCATAAAAAATAGACAGAAGCATTCTCAGAAACTTGTTGGTGATATGTGTCCTCAACTAACAGAGTTGAACTTTGCCATTGATAGAGAGCAGTTTTGAAACACTCTTTTTGTGGAATCTGCAAGTGGATATTTGGATAGCTTGGAGGATTTCGTTGGAAGCGGGAATTCAAATAAAAGGTAGACAGCAGCATTCTCAGAAATTTCTTTCTGATGTCTGCATTCAACTCATAGAGTTGAAGATTCCCTTTCATAGAGCAGGTTTGAAACACTCTTTCTGGAGTATCTGGATGTGGACATTTGGAGCGCTTTGATGTCTACGGTGGAAACGTAAATATCTTCCCATAAAAACGAGACAGAAGGATTCTGAGAAACAAGTTTGTGATGTGTGTACTCAGCTAACAGAGTGGAACCTCTCTTTTGATGCAGCAGTTTGGAAACACTCTTTTTGTAGAAACTGTAAGTGGATATTTGGATAGCTCTAATGATTTCGTTGGAAACGGGAATATCATCATCTAAAATCTAGACAGAAGCCCTCTCAGAAACTACTTTGTGATATCTGCATTCAAGTCACAGAGTTGAACATTCGCTTTCTTAGAGCACGTTGGAAACACTCTTTTTGTAGTGTCTGGAAGTGGACATTTGGAGCGCTTTGTTGCCTTTGGTGAAAAAGGGAACGTCTTCCCATAAAAACTAGACAGAAGCATTCTCAGAAACTTGTTTGTGATGTGTGTACCCAGCCAAAGGGAGTTGAACATTTCTATTGATAGAGCAGTTTTGAAACACTCTTTTTGTGGAAAATGCAAGTGGATATTTGGATAGCTTGGAGGATTTCGTTGGAAGCGGGAATTCAAATAAAAGGTAGACAGCAGCATTCTCAGAAATTTCTTTCTGATGTCTGCATTCAACTCATAGAGTTGAAGATTCCCTTTCATAGAGCAGGTTTGAAACACTCTTTCTGGAGTATCTGGATGTGGACATTTGGAGCGCTTTGATGCCTACGGTGAAAAAGTAAATATCTTCCCATAAAAACGAGACAGAAGGATTCTGAGAAACAAGTTTGTGATGTGTGTACTCAGCTAACAGAGTGGAACCTTTCTTTTTACAGAGCAGCTTTGAAACTCTATTTTTGTGGATTCTGCAAATGGATATTTAGATTGCTTTAATGATATCGTTGGAAAAGGGAATATCGTCATACAAAATACTAGACAGAAGCATTCTCACAAACTTACTTTGTGATGTGTGTCCTCAACTAACAGAGTTGAACCTTTCTTTTGATGCAGCAATTTGGAAACACCCTTTTGGTAGAAACTGTAACTGGATATTTGGATAGCTCTAACGATTTCGTTGGAAAAGGGAATATCATCATCTAAAATGTAGACAGAAAGCACTATTAGAAACTACTTGGTGATATCTGCATTCAAGTCACAGAGTTGAACATTCCCTTACTTTGAGCACGTTTGAAACACTCTTTTGGAAGAATCTGGAAGTGGACATTTGGAGCGCTTTGATGATGCCTTTGGTGAAAAGGAAACGTCTTCCAATAAAAGCCAGACAGAAGCATTCTCAGAAACTTGTTTGTGATGTGTGTACTCAACTAAAAGAGTTGAACCTTTCTATTGATAGAGCAGTTTTGAAACACTCTTTTTGTGGATTCTGCAAGTGGATATTTGGATTGCTTTGAGGATTTCGTTGGAAGCGGGAATTCGTATAAAAACTAGACAGCAGCATTCCCAGAAATTTCTTTCGTATATTTCCATTCAACTCATAGAGATGAACATGGCCTTTCATAGAGCAGGTTTGAAACACTCTTTTTGTAGTTTGTGGAAGTGGACATTTCGATCGCCTTGACGCCTACGGTGAAAAAGGAAATATCTTCCCATAAAAAATAGACAGAAGCATTCTCAGAAACTTGTTGGTGATATGTGTCCTCAACTAACAGAGTTGAACTTTGCCATTGATAGAGAGCAGTTTTGAAACACTCTTTTTGTGGAATCTGCAAGTGGATATTTGGATAGCTTGGAGGATTTCGTTGGAAGCGGGAATTCAAATAAAAGGTAGACAGCAGCATTCTCAGAAATTTCTTTCTGATGTCTGCATTCAACTCATAGAGTTGAAGATTCCCTTTCATAAAGCAGGTTTGAAACACTCTTTCTGGAGTATCTGGATGTGGACATTTGGAGCGCTTTGAGGCCTAAGGTGAGAAAGTAAATATCTTCCCATAAAAACGAGACAGAAAGGATTCTCAGAAACAAGTTTGTGATGTGTGTACTCAGCTAACAGAGTGGAACCTCTCTTTTGATGCAGCAGTTTGGAAACACTCTTTTTGTAGAAACCGTAAGTGGATATTTGGATAGCTCTAATGATTTCGTTGGAAACGGGAATATCATCATCTAAAATCTAGACAGAAGCCCTCTCAGAAACTACTTTGTGATTTCTGCCTTCAAGTCACAGAGTTGAACATTCGCTTTCTTAGAGCACGTTGGAAACACTCTTTTTGTAGTGTCTGGAAGTGGACATTTGGAGCGCTTTGATTCCTTTGGTGAAAAAGGGAATGTCTACCCATAAAAACTAGACAGAAGCATTCTCAGAAACTTGTTTGTGATGTGTGCACCCAGCTAAAGGAGTTGAACATTTCTATTGATAGAGCAGTTTTGAAGCACTCTTTTTGTGGAAAATGCAAGTGGATATTTGGATAGCTTGGAAGATTTCGTTGGAAGCGGGAGTTCAAATAAAAGGTAGACAGCAGCATTCTCAGAAATTTCTTTCTGATTCTGCATTCAACTCATAGAGTTGAAGATTCCTTTTCATAGAGCAGGTTTGAAACACTCGTTCTGGAGTATCTGGATGTGGACATTTGGAGCGCTTTGATGCCTACAGTGGAAAAGTAAATATCTTCCCATAAAAACGAGACAGAAGGTTTCTCAGAAACAAGTTTGTGATGTGTGTACTCAGCTAACAGAGTGGAACCTTTCTTTTTACAGAGCAGCTTTGAAACTCTATTTTTGTGGATTCTGCAAATTGATATTTAGATTGCTTTAACGATATCGTTGGAAAAGGGAATATCGTCATACAAAATCTAGACAGAAGCATTCTCACAAACTTCTTTGTGATGTGTGTCCTCAACTAACAGAGTTGAACCTTTCTTTTGATGCAGCAATTTGGAAACACCCTTTTGGTAGAAACTGTAACTGGATATTTGGATAGCTCTAACGATTTTGTTGGAAACGGGAATATCATCATCTAAAATGTAGACAGAAGCACTATTAGAAACTACTTGGTGATATCTGCATTCAAGTCACAGCAGTTGAACATTCCCTTACTTTGAGCACGTTTGAAACACTCTTTTGGAAGAATCTGGAAGTGGACATTTGGAGCGCTTTGATGCCTTTGGTGAAAAGGAAACGTCTTCCAATACAAGCCAGACAGAAGCATTCTCAGAAACTTGTTTGTGATGTGTGTACTCAACTAAAAGAGTTGAACCTTTCTATTGATAGAGCAGTTTTGAAACACTCTTTTTGTGGATTCTGCAAGTGGATATTTGGATTCCTTTGAGGATTTCGTTGGAAGCGGGAATTCGTATAAAAACTAGACAGCAGCATTCCCAGAAATTTCTTTCGGATATTTCCATTCAACTCATAGAGATGAACATCGCCTTTCATAGAGCAGGTTTGAAACACTCTTTTTGTAGTTTGTGGAAGTGGACATTTCGATCGCCTTGACGCCTACGGTGAAAAAGGAAATATCTTCCCATAAAAAATAGACAGAAGCATTCTCAGAAACTTGTTGGTGATATGTGTCCTCAACTAACAGAGTTGAACTTTGCCATTGATAGAGAGCAGTTTTGAAACACTCTTTTTGTGGAATCTGCAAGTGGATATTTGGATAGCTTGGAGGATTTCGTTGGAAGCGGGAATTCAAATAAAAGGTAGACAGCAGCATTCTCAGAAATTTCTTTCTGATGTCTGCATTCAACTCATAGAGTTGAAGATTCCCTTTCATAGAGCAGGTTTGAAACACTCTTTCTGGAGTATCTGGATGTGGACATTTGGAGTGCTTTGATGCCTACGGTGAAAAAGTAAATATCTTCCCATAAAAACGAGACAGAAGGATTCTGAGAAACAAGTTTGTGATGTGTGTACTCAGCTAACAGAGTGGAACCTCTCTTTTGATGCAGCAGTTTGGAAACACTCTTTTTGTAGAAACTGTAAGTGGATATTTGGATAGCTCTAATGATTTCGTTGGAAACGGGAATATCATCATCTAAAATCTAGACAGAAGCCCTCTCAGAAACTACTTTGTGATATCTGCATTCAAGTCACAGAGTTGAACATTCGCTTTCTTAGAGCACGTTGGAAACACTCTTTTTGTAGTGTCTGGAAGTGGACATTTGGAGCGCTTTGATGCCTTTGGTGAAAAAGGGAATGTCTTCCCATAAAAACCAGACAGAAGCATTCTCAGAAACTTGTTTGTGATGTGTGCACCCAGCTAAAGGAGTTGAACATTTATTGATAGAGCAGTTTTGAAGCACTCTTTTTGTGGAAAATGCAAGTGGATATTTGGATAGCTTGGAGGATTTCGTTGGAAGCGGGAGTTCAAATAAAAGGTAGACAGCAGGATTCTGAGAAACAAGTTTGTGATGTGTGTACTCAGCTAACGGAGTGGAACCTTTCTTTTTACAGAGCAGCTTTGAAACTCTATTTTTGTGGATTCTGCAAATTGATATTTAGATTGCTTTAACGATATCATTGGAAAAGGGAATATCGTCATACAAAATCTAGACAGAAGCATTCTCACAAACTTCTTTGTGATGTGTGTCCTCAACTAACAGTAGTTGAACCTTTCTTTTGATGCAGCAATTTGGAAACACCCTTTTGGTAGAAACTGTAACTGGATATTTGCTTAGCTCTAACGATTTCGTTGGAAACGGGAATATCATCATCTAAAATCTAGACAGAAGCACTATTAGAAACTACTTGGTGATATCTGCATTCAAGTCACAGAGTTGAACATTCCCTTACTTTGAGCACGTTTGAAACACTCTTTTGGAAGAATCTGGAAGTGGACATTTGGAGCGCTTTGATGCCTTTGGTGAAAAGGAAACGTCTTCCAATAAAAGCCAGACAGAAGCATTCTCAGAAACTTGTTTGTGATGTGTGTACTCAACTAAAAGAGTTGAACCTTTCTATTGATAGAGCAGTTTTGAAACACTCTTTTTGTGGATTCTGCAAGTGGATATTTGGATTGGTTGAGGATTTCGTTGGAAGCGGGAATTCGTATAAACACTAGACAGCAGCATTCCCAGAAATTTCTTTCGGATATTTCCATTCGACTCATAGAGATGAACATGGCCTTTCATAGAGCAGGTTTGAAACACTCTTTTTGTAGTTTGTGGAAGTGGACATTTCGATCGCCTTGACGCCTACGGTGAAAAAGGAAATATCTTCCCATAAAAAATAGACAGAAGCATTCTCAGAAACTTGTTGGTGATATGTGTCCTCAACTAACAGAGTTGAACTTTGCCATTGATAGAGAGCAGTTTTGAAACACTCTTTTTGTGGAATCTGCAAGTGGATATTTGGATAGCTTGGAGGATTTCGTTGGAAGCGGGAATTCAAATAAAGGGTAGACAGCAGCATTCTCAGAAATTTCTTTCTGATCTCTGCATTCAACTCATAGAGTTGAACATTCCCTTTCATAGGGCAGGTTTGAAATACTCTTTCTGTAGTATCTGGATGTGGACATTTGGAGCGCTTTGATGCCTACGGTGAAAAAGTAAATATCTTCCCATAAAAACGAGACAGAAGGATTCTGAGAAACAAGTTTGTGATGTGTGTACTCAGCTAACAGAGTGGAACCTCTCTTTTGATGCAGCAGTTTGGAAACACTCTTTTTGTAGAAACTGTAAGTGGATATTTGGATAGCTCTAATGATTTCGTTGGAAACGGGAATATCATCATCTAAAATCTAGACAGAAGCCCTCTCAGAAACTACTTTGTGATATCTGCATTCAAGTCACAGAGTTGAACATTCGCTTTCTTAGAGCACGTTTGAAACACTCTTTTTGTAGTGTCTGGAAGTGGACATTTGGAGGGCTTTGATTCCTTTGGTGAAAAAGGGAATGTCTACCCATAAAAACTAGACAGAAGCATTCTCAGAAACTTGTTTGTGATGTGTGTACCCAGCCAAAGGAGTTGAACATTTCTATTGATAGAGCAGTTTTGAAACACTCTTTTTGTGGAAAATGCAGGTGGATATTTGGATAGCTTGGAGGATTTCGTTGGAAGCGGGAATTCAAATAAAAGGTAGACAGCAGCATTCTCAGAAATTTCTTTCTGATGTCTGCATTCAACTCATAGAGTTGAAGATTCCCTTTCATAGAGCAGGTTTGAAACACTCTTTCTGGAGTATCTGGATGTGGACATTTGGAGCGCTTTGATGCCTACGGTGAAAAAGTAAATATCTTCCCATAAAAACGAGACAGAGGATTCTGAGAGACAAGTTTGTGATGTGTGTACTCAGCTAACAGAGTGGAACCTTTCTTTTTACAGCAGCAGCTTTGAAACTCTATTTTTGTGGATTCTGCAAATGGATATTTAGATTGCTTTAATGATATCGCTGGAAAAGGGAATATGGTCATACAAAATCTAGACAGAAGCATTCTCACAAACTTCTTTGTGATGTGTGTCCTCAACTAACAGAGTTGAACCTTTCTTTTGATGCAGCAGTTTGGAAACACTCTTTTTGTAGAAACTGTAAGTGGATATTTGGATAGCTCTAACGATTTCGTTGGAAACGGGAATATCATCATCTAAAATCTAGACAGAAGCACTATTAGAAACTACTTGGTGATATCTGCATTCAAGTCACAGAGTTGAACATTCCCTTACTTTGGGCACGTTTCAAACACTCTTTTGGAAGAATCTGGAAGTGGACATTTGGAGCGCTTTGATGCCTTTGGTGAAAAGGAAACGTCTTCCAATAAAAGCCAGACTGAAGCATTCTCAGAAACTTGTTCGTGATGTGTGTACTCAACTAAAAGAGTTGAACCTTTCTTTGGATAGCGCAGTTTTGAAACACTCTTTTTGTGGATTCTGCAAGTGGATATTTGGATTGCTTTGAGGATTTCGTTGGAAGCGGGAATTCGTATAAACACTAGACAGCAGCATTCCCAGAAATTTCTTTCGGATATTTCCATTCAACTCATAGAGATGAACATGGCCTTTCATAGAGCAGGTTTGAAACACTCTTTTTGTAGTTTGTGGAAGTGGACATTTCGATCGCCTTGACGCCTACGGTGAAAAAGGAAATATCTTCCCATAAAAAATAGACAGAAGCATTCTCAGAAACTTGTTGGTGATATGTGTCCTCAACTAACAGAGTTGAACTTTGCCATTGATAGAGAGCAGTTTTGAAACACTCTTTTTGTGGAATCTGCAAGTGGATATTTGGATAGCTTGGAGGATTTCGTTGGAAGCGGGAATTCAAATAAAAAGTAGACAGCAGCATTCTCAGAAATTTCTTTCTGATGTCTGCATTCAACTCATAGAGTTGAAGATTCCCTTTCATAGAGCAGGTTTGAAACACTCTTTCTGGAGTATCTGGATGTGGACATTTGGAGCGCTTTGATGCCTACGGTGAAAAAGTAAATATCTTCCCATAAAAACGACACAGAAGGATTCTGAGAAACAAGTTTGTGATGTGTGTACTCAGCTAACAGAGTGGAACCTCTCTTTTGATGCAGCAGTTTGGAAACACTCTTTTTGTAGAAACTGTAAGTGGATATTTGGATAGCTCTAATGATTTCGTTGGAAACGGGAATATCATCATCTAAAATCTAGAAAGAAGCCCTCTCAGAAACTACTTTGTGATATCTGCATTCAAGTCACAGAGTTGAACATTCGCTTTCTTAGAGCACGTTGGAAACACTCTTTTTGTAGTGTCTGGAAGTGGACATTTGGAGCGCTTTGATGCCTTTGGTGAAAAAGGGAATGTCTTCCCATAAAAAGTAGACAGAAGCATTCTCAGAAACTTGTTTGTGATGTGTGTACCCAGCTAAAGGAGTTGAACATTTCTATTGATAGAGCAGTTTTGAAACACTCTTTTTGTGGAAAATGCAAGTGGATATTTGGATAGCTTGGAGGATTTCGTTGGAAGCGGGAATTCAAATAAAAGGTAGACAGCAGCATTCTCAGAAATTTCTTTCTGATGTCTGCATTCAACTCACAGAGTTGAAGATTCCCTTTCATAGAGCAGGTTTGAAACACTCTTTCTGGAGTATCTGGATGTGGACATTTGGAGCGCTTTGATGCCTACGGTGAAAAAGTAAATATCTTCCCAGAAAAACGAGACAGAAGGATTCTGAGAAACAAGTTTGTGATGTGTGTACTCAGCTAACAGAGTGGAACCTTTCTTTTTACAGAGCAGCTTTGAAACTCTATTTTTGTGGATTCTGCAAATGGATATTTAGATTGCTTTAACGATATCGTTGGAAAAGGGAATATCGTCATACAAAATCTAGACAGAAGCATTCTCACAAACTTCTTTGTGATGTGTGTCCTCAACTAACAGAGTTGAACCTTTCTTTTGATGCAGCAGTTTGGAAACACCCTTTTGGTAGAAACTGTAAGTGGATATTTTGATAGCTCTAACGATTTCGTTGGAAACGGGAATATCATCATCTAAAATCTAGACAGAAGCACTATTAGAAACTACTTGGTGATATCTGCATTCAAGTCAAAGAGTTGAACATTCCCTTACTTTGAGCACGTTTGAAACACTCTTTTGGAAGAATCTGGAAGTGGACATTTGGAGCGCTTTGATGCCTTTGGTGAAAAGGAAACGTCTTCCAATAAAAGCCAGACAGAAGCATTCTCAGAAACTTGTTGGTGATGTGTGTACTCAACTAAAAGAGTTGAACCTTTCTATTGATAGAGCAGTTTTGAAACACTCTTTTTGTGGATTCTGCAAGTGGATATTTGGATTGCTTTGAGGCTTTCGTTGGAAGCGGGAATTCATATAAAAACTAGACAGCAGCATTCCCAGAAATTTCTTTCGGATATTTCCATTCGACTCATAGAGATGAACATGGCCTTTCATAGAGCAGGTTTGAAACACTCTTTTTGTAGTTTGTGGAAGTGGACATTTCGATCGCCTTGACGCCTACGGTGAAAAAGGAAATATCTTCCCATAAAAAATAGACAGAAGCATTCTCAGAAACTTGTTGGTGATATGTGTCCTCAACTAACAGAGTTGAACTTTGCCATTGATAGAGAGCAGTTTTGAAACACTCTTTTTCCTGAATCTGCAAGTGGATATTTGGATAGCTTGGAGGATTTCGTTGGAAGCGGGAATTCAAATAAAAGGTAGACAGCAGCATTCTCAGAAATTTCTTTCTGATGTCTGCATTCAACTCATAGAGTTGAACATTCCCTTTCATAGAGCAGGTTTGAAACACTCGTTCTGGAGTATCTGGATGTGGACATTTGGAGCGCTTTGATGCCTACGGTGAAAAAGTAAATATCTTCCCATAAAAACGAGACAGAAGGATTCTCAGAAACAAGTTTGTGATGTGTGTACTCAGCTAACAGAGTGGAACCTCTCTTTTGATGCAGCAGTTTGGAAACACTCTTTTTGTGGAAACTGTAAGTGGATATTTGGATAGCTCTAATGATTTCGTTGGAAACGGGAATATCATCATCTAAAATCTAGACAGAAGCACTCTCAGAAACTACTTTGTGATATCTGCATTCAAGTCACAGAGTTGAACATTTGCTTTCTTAGAGCACGTTTGAAACACTCTTTTTGTAGTGTCTGGAAGTGGACATTTGGAGCGCTTTGATGCCTTTGGTGAAAAAGGGAACGTCTTCCCATAAAAACTAGACAGAAGCATTCTCAGAAACTTGTTTGTGATGTGTGTACCCAGCTAAAGGAGTTGAACATTTCTATTGATAGAGCAGTTTTGAAACACTCTTTTTGTGGAAAATGCAAGTGGATATTTGGATAGCTTGGAGGATTTCGTTGGAAGCGGGATTTCAAATAAAAGGTAGACAACAGCATTCTCAGAAATTTCTTTCTGATGTCTGCATTCAACTCATAGAGTTGAAGATTCCCTTTCATAGAGCAGGTTTGAAACACTCTTTCTGGAGTATCTGGATGTGGACATTTGGAGCGCTTTGATGCCTAAGGTGAAAAAGTAAATATCTTCCCATAAAAACGAGACAGAAGGATTCTCAGAAACAAGTTTGTGATGTGTGTACTCAGCTAACAGAGTGGAACCATTCTTTTTACAGAGCAGCTTTGAAACTCTATTTTTGTGGATTCTGCAAATGGATATTTAGATTGCTTTAACGATATCGTTGGAAAAGGGAATATCGTCATACAAAATCTGGACAGAAGCATTCTCACAAACTTCTTTGTGATGTGTGTCCTCAACTAACAGAGTTGAACCTTTCTTTTGATGCAGCAGTTTGGAAACACTCTTTTTGTAGAAACTGTAAGTGGATATTTGGATAGCTCTAACGATTTCGTTGGAAACGGGAATATCATCATCTAAAATCTAGACAGAAGCACTATTAGAAACTACTTGGTGATATCTGCATTCAAGTCAAAGAGTTGAACATTCCCTTACTTTGAGCACGTTTGAAACACTCTTTTGGAAGAATCTGGAAGTGGACATTTGGAGCGCTTTGATGCCTTTGGTGAAAAGGAAACGTCTTCCAATAAAAGCCAGACAGAAGCATTCTCAGAAACTTGTTTGTGATGTGTGTACTCAACTAAAAGAGTTGAACCTTTCTATTGATAGAGCAGTTTTGAAACCCTCTTTTTGTGGATTCTGCAAGTGGATATTTGGATTGCCTTGAGGATTTCGTTGGAAGCGGGAATTCGTATAAACACTAGACAGCAGCATTCCCAGAAATTTCTTTCGGATATTTCCATTCAACTCATAGAGATGAACATGGCCTTTCATATTGAAACACTCTTTTTGTAGTTTGTGGAAGTGGACATTTCGATCGCCTTGACGCCTACGGTGAAAAAGGAAATATCTTCCCATAAAAAATAGACAGAAGCATTCTCAGAAACTTGTTTGTGATGTGTGTACCCAGCTAAAGGAGTTGAACGTTTCTATTGATAGAGCAGTTTTGAAACACTCTTTTTGTGGAAAATGCAAGTGGATATTTGAATAGCTTGGAGGATTTCGTTGGAAGCGGGAATTCAAATAAAAGGTAGACAGCAGGATTCTGAGAAACAAGTTTGTGATGTGTGTACTCAGCTAACAGAGTGGAACCTGTCTTTTGATGCAGCAGTTTGGAAACACTCTTTTTGTAGAAACTGTATGTGGATATTTGGATAGCTCTAATGATTTCGTTGGAAACGGGAATATCATCATCTAAAATCTAGACAGAAGCCCTCTCAGAAACTACTTTGTGATATCTGCATTCAAGTAACAGAGTTGAACATTCGCTTTCTTAGAGCACGTTGGAAACACTCTTTTTGTAGTGTCTGGAAGTGGACATTTGGAGCACTTTGATGCCTTTGGTGAAAAAGGGAACGTCTTCCCATAAAAAGTAGACAGAAGCATTCTCAGAAACTTGTTTGTGATGTGTGTACCCAGCCAAAGGAGTTGAACATTTCTATTGATAGAGCAGTTTTGAAACGCTCTTTTTGTGGAAAATGCAGGTGGATATTTGGATAGCTTGGAGGATTTCGTTGGAAGCGGGAATTCAAATAAAAGGTAGACAGCAGCATTCTCAGAAATTTCTTTCTGATGTCTGCATTCAACTCATAGAGTTCAAGATTCCCTTTCATAGAGCAGGTTTGAAACACTCTTTCTGGAGTATCTGGATGTGGACATTTGGAGCGCTTTGATGCCTACGGTGAAAAAGTAAATATCTTCCCATAAAAACGAGACAGAAGGATTCTCAGAAACAAGTTTGTGATGTGTGTACTCAGCTAACAGAGTGGAACCTTTCTTTTTACAGAGCAGCTTTGAAACTCTATTTTTGTGGATTCTGCAAATGGATATTTAGATTGCTTTAATGATATCGCTGGAAAAGGGAATATGGTCATACAAAATCTAGACAGAAGCATTCTCACAAACTTCTTTGTG
This sequence comes from Homo sapiens, assembly GCF_000001405.40. Lineage (NCBI taxonomy): Eukaryota > Metazoa > Chordata > Mammalia > Primates > Hominidae > Homo > Homo sapiens. Next base: position 18,074,287 of record NC_000014.9, read on the forward strand.
ATGTGTGTCCTCAACTAACAGAGTTGAACCTTTCTTTTGATGCAGCAGTTTGGAAACACTCTTTTTGTAGAAACTGTAAGTGGATATTTGGATAGCTCTAACGATTTCGTTGGAAACGGGAATATCATCATCTAAAATCTAGACAGAAGCACTATTAGAAACTACTTGGTGATATCTGCATTCAAGTCACAGAGTTGAACATTCCCTTACTTCGAGCACGTTTGAAACACTCTTTTGGAAGAATCTGGAAGTGGACATTTGGAGCGCTTTGATGCCTTTGGTGAAAAGGAAACGTCTTCCAATAAAAGCCAGACAGAGCATTCTCAGTAAACTTGTTTGTGATGTGTGTACTCAACTAAAAGAGTTGAACCTTTCTATTGATAGAGCAGTTTTGAAACACTCTTTTTGTGGATTCTGCAAGTGGATATTTGGATTGCTTTGAGGATTTCGTTGGAAGCGGCAATTCGTATAAAAACTAGACAGCAGCATTCCCAGAAATTTCTTTCGGATAATTCCCATTCGACTCATAGAGATGAACATGGCCTTTCATAGAGCAGGTTTGAAACACTCTTTTTGTAGTTTGTGGAAGTGGACATTTCGATCGCCTTGACGCCTACGGTGAAAAAGGAAATATCTTCCCATAAAAAATAGACAGAAGCATTCTCAGAAACTTGTTGGTGATATGTGTCCTCAACTAACAGAGTTGAACTTTGCCATTGATAGAGAGCAGTTTTGAAACACTCTTTTTGTGGAATCTGCAAGTGGATATTTGGATAGCTTGGAGGATTTCGTTGGAAGCGGGAATTCAAATAAAAGGTAGACAGCAGCATTCTCAGAAATTTCTTTCTGATGTCTGATTCAGCTCATAGAGTTGAAGATTCCCTTTCATAGAGCAGGTTTGAAACACTCTTTCTGGAGTATCTGGATGTGGACATTTGGAGCGCTTTGAGGCCTACGGTGAGAAAGTAAATATCTTCCCATAAAAACGAGACAGAAGGATTCTGAGAAACAAGTTTGTGTTGTGTGTACTCAGCTAACAGAGTGGAACCTCTCTTTTGATGCAGCAGTTTGGAAACACTCTTTTTGTAGAAACTGTAAGTGGATATTTGGATAGCTCTAATGATTTCGTTGGAAACGGGAATATCATCATCTAAAATCTAGACAGAAGCCCTCTCAGAAACTACTTTGTGATATCTGCATTCAAGTCACAGAGTTGAACATTCGCTTTCTTAGAGCACGTTTGAAACACTCTTTTTGTAGTGTCTGGAAGTGGACATTTGGAGCGCTTTGATGCCTTTGGTAAAAAAGGGAATGTCTTCCCATAAAAACTAGACAGAAGCATTCTCAGAAACTTGTTTGTGATGTGTGTACCCAGCTAAAGGAGTTGAACATTTCTATTGATAGAGCAGTTTTGAAACACTCTTTTTGTGGAAAATGCAAGTGGATATTTGGATAGCTTGGAGGATTTCGTTGGAAGCGGGAATTCAAATAAAAGGTAGACAGCAGCATTCTCAGAAATTTCTTTCTGATGTCTGCATTCAACTCATAGAGTTGAAGATTCCCTTTCATAGAGCAGGTTTGAAACACTCTTTCTGGAGTATCTGGATGTGGACATTTGGAGGGCTTTGATGCCTACGGTGAAAAAGTAAATATCCTCCCATAAAAACGAGACAGACAAGGATTCTGAGAAACAAGTTTGTGATGTGTGTACTCAGCTAACAGAGTGGAACCTCTCTTTTGATGCAGCAGTTTGGAAACACTCTTTTTGTAGAAACTGTAAGTGGATATTTGGATAGCTCTAATGATTTCGTTGGAAACGGGAATATCATCATCTAAAATCTACACAGAAGCATTCTCACAAACTTCTTTGTGATGTGTGTCCTCAACTAACAGAGTTGAACCTTTCTTTTGATGCAGCAGTTTGGAAACACTCTTTTTGTAGAAACTGTAAGTGGATAATTGGATAGCTGTAACGATTTCGTTGGAAACGGGAATATCGTCATCTAAAATTTAGACAGAAGCACTATTAGAAACTACTTGGTGATATCTGCATTCAAGTCACAGAGTTGAACATTCCCTTACTTTGAGCACGTTTCAAACACTCTTTTGGAAGAATCTGGAAGTGGACATTTGGAGCGCTTTGATGCCTTTGGTGAAAAGGAAACGTCTTCCAATAAAAGCCAGACAGAAGCATTCTCAGAAACTTGTTCGTGATGTGTGTACTCAACTAAAAGAGTTGAACCTTTCTATTGATAGAGCAGTTTTGAAACACTCTTTTTGTGGATTCTGCAAGTGGATATTTGGATTGCTTTGAGGATTTCGTTGTAAGCGGGAATTCGTATAAAAACTAGACAGCCAGCATTCCCAGAAATTTCTTTCGGATATTTCCATTCGACTCATAGAGATGAACATGGCCTTTCATAGAGCAGGTTTGAAACACTCTTTTTGTAGTTTGTGGAAGTGGACATTTCGATCGCCTTGACGCCTACGGTGAAAAAGGAAATATCTTCCCATAAAAAATAGACAGAGCATTCTCAGAAACTTGTTGGTGATATGTGTCCTCAACTAACAGAGTTGAACTTTGCCATTGATAGAGAGCAGTTTTGAAACACTCTTTTTGTGGAATCTGCAAGTGGATATTTGGATAGCTTGGAGGATTTCGTTGGAAGCGGGAATTCAAATAAAAGGTAGACAGCCAGCATTCTCAGAAATTTCTTTCTGATGTCTGCATTCAACTCATAGAGTTGAACATTCCCTTTCATAGAGCAGGTTTGAAATACTCTTTCTGTAGTATCTGGATGTGGACATTTGGAGCGCTTTGATGCCTACGGTGAAAAAGTAAATATCTTCCCATAAAAACGAGACAGAAGGATTCTGAGAAACAAGTTTGTGATGTGTGTACTCAGCTAACAGAGTGGAACCTCTCTTTTGATGCAGCAGTTTGGAAACACTCTTTTTGTAGAAACTGTAAGTGGATATTTGGATAGCTCTAATGATTTTGTTGGAAACGGGAATATCATCATCTAAAATCTAGACAGAAGCCCTCTCAGAAACTACTTTGTGATATCTGCATTCAAGTCACAGAGTTGAATATTCGCTTTCTTAGAGCACGTTGGAAACACTCTTTTTGTAGTGTCTGGAAGTGGACATTTGGAGCGCTTTGATGCCTTTGGTGAAAAAGAGAACGTCTTCCCATAAAAACTAGACAGAAGCATTCTCAGAAACTTGTTTGTGATGTGTGTACCCAGCCAAAGGAGTTGAACATTTCTATTGATAGAGCAGTTTTGAAACACTCTTGTTGTGGAAAATGCAGGTGGATATTTGGATAGCTTGGAGGATTTCGTTGGAAGCGGGAATTCAAATAAAAGGTACACAGCAGCATTCTCAGAAATTTCTTTCTGATGTCTGCATTCAACTCATAGAGTTGAAGATTCCCTTTCATAGAGCAGGTTTGAAACACTCTTTCTGGAGTATCTGGATGTGGACATTTGGAGCGCTTTGATGCCTACGGTGAAAAAGTAAATATCTTCCCATAAAAACGAGACAGAAGGATTCTCAGAATCAAGTTTGTGATGTGTGTACTCAGCTAACAGAGTGGAACCTTTCTTTTTACAGAGCAGCTTTGAAACTCTATTTTTGTGGATTCTGCAAATTGATATTTAGATTGCTTTAACGATATCGTTGGAAAAGGGAATATCGTCATACAAAATCTAGACAGAAGCATTCTCACAAACTTCTTTGTGACGTGTGTCCTCAACTAACAGAGTTGAACCTTTCTTTTGATGCAGCAGTTTGGAAACACTGTTTTTGTAGCAACTGTAAGTGGATATTTGGATAGCTCTAACGATTTCGTTGGAAACGGGAATATCATCATCTAAAATCTAGACAGAAGCACTATTAGAAACTACTTGGTGATATCTGCATTCAAGTCAAAGAGTTGAACATTCCCTTACTTTGAGCACGTTTGAAACACTCTTTTGGAAGAATCTGGAAGTGGACATTTGGAGCGCTTTGATGCCTTTGGTGAAAAGGAAACGTCTTCCAATAAAAGCCAGACAGAAGCATTCTCAGAAACTTGTTTGTGATGTGTGTACTCAACTAAAAGAGTTGAACCTTTCTATTGATAGAGCAGTTTTGAAACACTCTTTTTGTGGATTCTGCAATTGGATATTTGGATTGCTTTGAGGATTTCGTTGGAAGCGGGAATTCGTATAAAAACTAGACAGCAGCATTCCCAGAAATTTCTTTCGGATATTTCCATTCGACTCATAGAGATGAACATGGCCGTTCATAGAGCAGGTTTGAAACACTCTTTTTGTAGTTTGTGGAAGTGGACATTTCGATCGCCTTGACGCCTACGGTGAAAAAGGAAATATCTTCCCATAAAAAATAGACAGAAGCATTCTCAGAAACTTGTTGGTGATATGTGTCCTTAACTAACAGAGTTGAACTTTGCCATTGATAGAGAGCAGTTTTGAAACACTCTTTTTGTGGAATCTGCAAGTGGATATTTGGATAGCTTGGAGGATTTCGTTGGAAGCGGGAATTCAAATAAAAGGTAGACAGCAGCAGTCTCAGAAATTTCTTTCTGATGTCTGCATTCAACTCATAGAGTTGAACATTCCCTTTCATAGAGCAGGTTTGAAACACTCTTTCTGGAGTATCTGGATGTGGACATTTGGAGCGCTTTGATGCCTACGGTGAAAAAGTAAATATCTTCCCATAAAAACGAGACAGAAGGATTCTGAGAAACAAGTTTGTGATGTGTGTACTCAGCTAACAGAGTGGAGCCTCTCTTTTGATGCAGCAGTTTGGAAACACTCTTTTTGTAGAAACTGTAAGTGGATATTTGGATAGCTCTAATGATTTCGTTGGAAACGGGAATATCATCATCTAAAATCTAGACAGAAGCCCTCTCAGAAACTACTTTGTGATATCTGCATTCAAGTCACAGAGTTGAACATTCGCTTTCTTAGAGCACGTTGGAAACACTCTTTTTGTAGTGTCTGGAAGTGGACATTTGGAGCGCTTTGATTCCTTTGGTGAAAAAGGGAATGTCTACCCATAAAAACTAGACAGAAGCATTCTCAGAAACTTGTTTGTGATGTGTGTACCCAGCCAAAGGAGTTGAACATTTCTATTGATAGAGCAGGTTTGAAACACTCTTTTTGTGGAAAATGCAGGTGGATATTTGGATAGCTTGGTGGATTTCGTTGGAAGCGGGAATTCAAATAAAAGGTAGACAGCAGCATTCTCAGAAATTTCTTTCTGATGTCTGCATTCAACTCATAGAGTTGAAGATTCCCTTTCATAGAGCAGGTTTGAAACACTCGTTCTGGAGTATCTGGATGTGGACATTTGGAGCGCTTTGATGCCTACGGTGGAAAAGTAAATATCTTCCCATAAAAACGAGACAGAAGGATTCTGAGAAACAAGTTTGTGATGTGTGTACTCAGCTAACGGAGTGGAACCTTTCTTTTTACAGAGCAGCTTTGAAAGTCTATTTTTGTGGATTCTGCAAATTGATATTTAGATTGCTTTAACGATATCGTTGGAAAAGGGAATATCCTCATACAAAATCTAGACAGAAGCATTCTCACAAACTTCTTTGTGACGTGTGTCCTCAACTAACAGAGTTGAACCTTTCTTTTGATGCAGCAGTTTGGAAACACTGTTTTTGTAGCAACTGTAAGTGGATATTTGGATAGCTCTAACGATTTCGTTGGAAACGGGAATATCATCATCTAAAATCTAGACAGAAGCACTATTAGAAACTACTTGGTGATATCTGCATTCAAGTCACAGAGTTGAACATTCCCTTACTTTGAGCACGTTTGAAACACTCTTTTGGAAGTATCTGGAAGTGGACATTTGGAGCGCTTTGATGCCTTTGGTGAAAAGGAAACGTCTTCCAATAAAAGCCAGACAGAAGCATTCTCAGAAACTTGTTCGTGATGTGTGTACTCAACTAAAAGAGTTGAACCTTTCTATTGATAGAGCAGTTTTGAAACACTCTTTTTGTGGATTCTGCAAGTGGATATTTGGATTGCTTTGAGGATTTCGTTGGAAGCGGGAATTCGTATAAACACTAGACAGCAGCATTCCCAGAAATTTCTTTCGGATATTTCCATTCAACTCATAGAGATGAACATGGGCTTTCATAGAGCAGGTTTGAAACACTCTTTTTGTAGTTTGTGGAAGTGGACATTTCGATCGCCTTGACGCCTACGGTGATAAAGGAAATATCTTCCCATAAAAAATAGACAGAAGCATTCTCAGAAACTTGTTGGTGATATGTGTCCTCAACTAACAGAGTTGAACTTTGCCATTGATAGAGAGCAGTTTTGAAACACTCTTTTTGTGGAATCTGCAAGTGGATATTTGGATAGCTTGGAGGATTTCGTTGGAAGCGGGAATTCAAATAAAAGGTAGACAGCAGCATTCTCAGAAATTTCTTTCTGATGTCTGCATTCAACTCATAGAGTTGAAGATTCCCTTTCATAGAGCAGGTTTGAAACACTCTTTCTGGAGTATCTGGATGTGGACATTTGGAGCGCTTTGATGCCTACGGTGAGAAAGTAAATATCTTCCCATAAAAACGAGACAGAAGGATTCTGAGAAACAAGTTTGTGATGTGTGTACTCAGCTAACAGATTGGAACCTCTCCTTTGATGCAGCAGTTTGGAAACACTCTTTTTGTAGAAACTGTAAGTGGATATTTGGATAGCTCTAATGATTTCGTTGGAAACGGGAATATCATCATCTAAAATCTAGACAGAAGCACTCTCAGAAACTACTTTGTGATATCTGCATTCAAGTCACAGAGTTGAACATTCGCTTTCTTAGAGCACGTTTGAAACACTCTTTTTGTAGTGTCTGGAAGTGGACTTTTGGAGCGCTTTGATTCCTTTGGTGAAAAAGGGAATGTCTACCCATAAAAACTAGACAGAAGCATTCTCAGAAACTTGTTTGTGATGTGTGTACCCAGCCAAAGGAGTTGAACATTTCTATTGATAGAGCAGTTTTGAAACACTCTTTTTGTGGAAAATGCAGGTGGATATTTGGATAGCTTGGAGGATTTCGTTGGAAGCGGGAATTCAAATAAAAGGTAGACAGCAGCATTCTCAGAAATTTCTTTCTGATGTCTGCATTCAACTCATAGAGTTGAACATTCCCTTTCATAGAGCAGGTTTGAAACACTCTTTCTGGAGTATCTGGATGTGGACATTTGGAGCCCTTTGATGCCTACGGTGAAAAAGTAAATATCTTCCCATAAAAACGAGACAGAAGGATTCTCAGAAACAAGTTTGTGATGTGTGTACTCAGCTAACAGAGTGGAACCTTTCTTTTTACAGAGCAGCTTTGAAACTCTATTTTTGTGGATTCTGCAAATGGATATTTAGATTGCTTTAACGATATCGTTGGAAAAGGGAATATCGTCATACAAAATCTAGACAGAAGCATTCTCACAAACTTCTTTGTGATGTGTGTCCTCAACTAACAGAGTTGAACCTTTCTTTTGATGCAGCAGTTTGGAAACACCCTTTTGGTAGAAACTGTAACTGGATATTTGGATAGCTCTAACGATTTCGTTGGAAACGGGAATATCATCATCTAAAATCTAGACAGGAGCACTATTAGAAACTACTTGGTGATATCTGCATTCAAGTCACAGAGTTGAACATTCCCTTACTTTGAGCACGTTTCAAACACTCTTTTGGAAGAATCTGGAAGTGGACATTTGGAGCGCTTTGATGCCTTTGGTGAAAAGGAAACGTCTTCCAATAAAAGCCAGACAGAAGCATTCTCAGAAACTTGTTTGTGATGTGTGTACTCAACTAAAAGAGTTGAACCTTTCTATTAATAGAGCAGTTTTGAAACACTCTTTTTGTGGATTCTGCAAGTGGATATTTGGATTGCTTTGAGGATTTCGTTGGAAGCGGGAATTCGTATAAAAACTAGACAGCAGCATTCCCAGAAATTTCTTTCGGATATTTCCATTCAACTCATAGAGATGAACATGGCCTTTCATAGAGCAGGTTTGAAACACTCTTTTTGTAGTTTGTGGAAGTGGACATTTCGATCGCCTTGACGCCTACGGTGAAAAAGGAAATATCTTCCCATAAAAAATAGACAGAAGCATTCTCAGAAACTTGTTTGTGATGTGTGTACCCAGCTAAAGGACTTGAACATTTCTATTGATAGAGCAGTTTTGAAACACTCTTTTTGTGGAATCTGCAGGTGGATATTTGGATAGCTTGGAGGATTTCGTTGGAAGCGGGAATTCAAATAAAAGGTAGACAGCAGCATTCTCAGAAATTTCTTTCTGATGTCTGCATTCAACTCATAGAGTTGAAGATTCCCTTTCATAGAGCAGGTTTGAAACACTCTTTCTGGAGTATCTGGATGTGGACATTTGTAGCGCTTTGATGCCTACGGTGAAAAGGTAAATATCTTCCCATAAAAACGAGACAGAAGGATTCTCAGAAACAAGTTTGTGATGTGTGTACTCAGCTAACAGAGTGGAACCTCTCTTTTGACACAGCAGTTTGGAAACACTCTTTTTGTAGAAACTGTAAGTGCACATTTGGATAGCTCTAATGACTTCGTTGGAAACGGGAATATCATCATCTAAAATCTAGACAGAAGCACTCTCAGAAACTACTTTGTGATATCTGCATTCAAGTCACAGAGTTGAACATTCGCTTTCTTACAGCACTTTTGAAACACACTTTTTGTAGTATCTGGAAGTGGACATTTGGAGCGCTTTGATGCCTTTGGTGAAAAAGGAAATGTCTTCCCATAAAAACTAGACAGAAGCATTCTCAGAAACTTGTTTGTGATGTGTGTACCCAGCCAAAGGAGTTGAACATTTCTATTGATAGAGCAGTTTTGAAACACTCTTTTTGTGGAAAATGCAAGTGGATATTTGGATAGCTTGGAGGATTTCGTTGGAAGCGGGAATTCAAATAAAAGGTAGACAGCCAGCATTCTCAGAAATTTCTTTCTGATGTCTGCATTCAACTCATAGAGTTGAAGATTCCCTTTCATAGGAGCAGGTTTGAAACACTCTTTCTGGAGTATCTGGATGTGGACATTTGGAGCGCTTTGATGCCTACGGTGAAAAAGTAAATATCTTCCCAGAAAAACGAGACAGAGGATTCTGAGAAACAAGTTTGTGATGTGTGTACTCAGCTAACAGAGTGGAACCTCTCTTTGGATGCAGCAGTTTGGAAACACACTTTTTGTAGAAACTGTAAGTGGATATTTGGATAGCTCTAATGATTTCGTTGGAAACGGGAATATCATCATCTAAAATCTAGACAGAAGCATTCTCACAAACTTCTTTGTGATGTGTGTCCTCAACTAACAGAGTTGAACCTTTCTTTTGATGCAGCAATTTGGAAACACCCTTTTGGTAGAAACTGTAACTGGATATTTGCTTAGCTCTAACGATTTCGTTGGAAACGGGAATATCATCATCTAAAATGTAGACAGAAGCACTATTAGAAACTACTTGGTGATATCTGCATTCAAGTCACAGAGTTGAACATTCCCTTACTTTGAGCACGTTTGAAACACTCTTTTGGAAGAATCTGGAAGTGGACATTTGGAGCGCTTTGATGCCTTTGGTGAAAAGGAAACGTCTTCCAATAAAAGCCAGACAGAAGCATTCTCAGAAACTTGTTGGTGATGTGTGTACTCAACTAAAAGAGTTGAACCTTTCTATTGATAGAGCAGTTTTGAAACACTCTTTTTGTGGATTCTGCAAGTGGATATTTGGATTGCTTTGAGGATTTCGTTGGAAGCGGGAATTCGTATAAACACTAGACAGCCAGCATTCCCAGGAAATTTCTTTCGGATATTTCCATTCAACTCATAGCAGGATGAACATGGCCTTTCATAGAGCAGGTTTGAAACACTCTTTTTGTAGTTTGTGGAAGTGGACATTTCGATCGCCTTGACGCCTACGCTGAAAAAGGAAATATCTTCCCATAAAAAATAGACAGAGCATTCTCAGAAACTTGTTGGTGATATGTGTCCTCAACTAACAGAGTTGAACTTTGCCATTGATAGAGAGCAGTTTTGAAACACTCTTTTTGTGGAATCTGCAAGTGGATATTTGGATAGCTTGGAGGATTTCGTTGGAAGCGGGAATTCGTATAAAAACTAGACAGCAGCATTCTCAGAAATTTCTTTCTGATGTCTGCATTCAACTCATAGAGTTGAAGATTCCCTTTCATAGAGCAGGTTTGAAACACTCTTTCTGGAGTATCTGGATGTGGACATTTGGAGCGCTTTGATGCCTATGGTGAAAAAGTATAATCTTCCCATAAAAACGAGACAGAAGGATTCTGAGAAACAAGTTTGTGATGTGTGTACTCAGCTAACAGAGTGGAACCTCTCTTTTGATGCAGCAGTTTGGAAACACTCTTTTTGTAGAAACTGTAAGTGGATATTTGGATAGCTCTAATGATTTCGTTGGAAACGGGAATATCATCATCTAAAATCTAGACAGAAGCACTCTCAGAAACTACTGTGTGATATCTGCATTCAAGTCACAGAGTTGAACATTCCCTTTCTTAGAGCACGTTTGAAACACTCTTTTTGTAGTGTCTGGAAGTGGACATTTGGAGCGCTTTGATTCCTTTGGTGAAAAAGGGAATGTCTACCCATAAAAACTAGACAGAAGCATTCTCAGAAACTTGTTGGTGATATGTGTCCTCAACTAACAGAGTTGAACTTTGCCATTGATAGAGAGCAGTTTTGAAACACTCTTTTTGTTGAATCTGCAAGTGGATATTTGGATAGCCTGGAGGATTTCGTTGGAAGCGGGAATTCAAATAAAAGGTAGACAGCAGCATTCTCAGAAATTTCTTTCTGATGTCTGCATTCAACTCATAGAGTTGAAGATTCCCTTTCATAGAGCAGGTTTGAAACACTCTTTCTGGAGTATCTGGATGTGGACATTTGGAGCAGCTTTGATGCCTACAGTGAAAAAGTAAATATCTTCCCATAAAAACCGAGACAGAAGGATTCTCAGAAACAAGTTTGTGATGTGTGTACTCAGCTAACAGAGTGGATCCTTTCTTTTTACAGAGCAGCTTTGAAACTCTATTTCTGTGGATTCTGCAAATTGATATTTGGGTTGATTTAACGATATCGATGGAAAAGGGAATATCTTCATTCAAAATCTAGACAGAAGCATTCTCACAAACTTCTTTGTGATGTGTGTCCTCAACTAACAGTAGTTGAACCTTTCTTTTGATGCAGCAGTTTGGAAACACTCTTTTTGTAGAAACTGTAAGTGGATATTTGGATAGCTCTAACGATTTCGTTGGAAACGGGAATATCATCATCTAAAATCTAGACAGAAGCACTATTAGAAACTACTTGGTGATATCTGCATTCAAGTCACAGAGTTGAACATTCCCTTACATTGAGCACGTTTGCAACACTCTTTTGGAAGAATCTGGAAGTGGACATTTGGAGCGCTTTGATGCCTTTGGTGAAAAGGAAACGTATTCCAATAAAAGCCAGACAGAAGCATTCTCAGAAACTTGTTTGTGAAGTGTGTACTCAACTAAAAGAGTTGAACCTTTCTATTGATAGAGCAGTTTTGAAACACTCTTTTTGTGGATTCTGCAAGTGGATATTTGGATTGCTTTGAGGATTTCGTTGGAAGCGGGAATTCGTATAAAAACTAGACAGCAGCATTCCCAGAAATTTCTTTCGGATATTTCCATTCAACTCATAGAGATGAACATGGCCTTTCATAGAGCAGGTTTGAAACACTCTTTTTGTAGTTTGTGGAAGTGGACATTTCGATCGCCTTGACGCCTACGGTGAAAAAGGAAATATCTTCCCATAAAAAATAGACAGAAAGCATTCTCAGAAACTTGTTTGTGATGTGTGTACCCAGCTAAAGGACTTGAACGTTTCTATTGATAGAGCAGTTTTGAAACACTCTTTTTGTGGAAAATGCAAGTGGATGTTTGGATAGCTTGGAGGATTTCGTTGGAAGCGGGAATTCAAATAAAAGGTAGACAGCAGCATTCTCAGAAATTTCTTTCTGATGTCTGCATTCAACTCATAGAGTTGAACATTCCCTTTCATAGAGCAGGTTTGAAATACTCTTTCTGTAGTATCTGGATGTGGACATTTGGAGCGCTTTGAGGCCTACGATGAAAAAGTAAATATCTTCCCATAAAAACGAGACAGAAGGATTCTGAGAAACAAGTTTGTGATGTGTGTACTCAGCTAACAGAGTGGAACCTCTCTTTTGATGCAGCAGTTTGGAAACACTCTTTTTGTAGAAACTGTAAGTGGATATTTGGATATCTCTAATGATTTCGTTGGAAACGGGAATATCATCATCTAAAATCTAGACAGAAGCCCTCTCAGAAACTACTTTGTGATATCTGCATTCAAGTCACAGAGTTGAACATTCGCTTTCTTAGGGCACGTTGGAAACACTCTTTTTGTAGTGTCTGGAAGTGGACATTTGGAGCGCTTTGATGCCTTTGGTGAAAAAGGGAACGTCTTCCCATAAAAACTAGACAGAAAGCATTCTCAGAAACTTGTTTGTGATGTGTGTACCCAGCCAAAGGAGTTGAACATTTCTATTGATAGAGCAGTTTTGAAACACTCTTTTTGTGGAAAATGCAAGTGGATATTTGGATAGCTTGGAGGATTTCGTTGGAAGCGGGAATTCAAATAAAAGGTAGACAGCAGCATTCTCAGAAATTTCTTTCTGATGTCTGCATTCAACTCATAGAGTTGAAGATTCCCTTTCATAGAGCAGGTTTGAAACACTCGTTCTGGAGTATCCGGATGTGGACATTTGGAGCGCTTTGATGCCTACGGTGGAAAAGTAAATATCTTCCCATAAAAACGAGACAGAAGGATTCTCAGAAACAAGTTTTTGATGTGTGTACTCAGCCAAAAGAGTGGAACCTTTCTTTTTACAGAGCAGCTTTGAAACTGTATTTTTGTGGATTCTGCAAATTTATATTTAGATTGTTTTAACGATATCGTTGGAAAAGGGAATATCGTCATACAAAATCTAGAGAGAAGCATTCTCACAAACTTCTTTCTGATGTGTGTCCTCAACCAACAGAGTTGAACCTTTCTTTTGATGCAGCAGTTTGGAAACACTCTTTTTGTAGAAACTGTAACTGGATATTTGGATAGCTCTAACGATTTCGTTGGAAACGGGAATATCATCATCTAAAATCTAGACAGAAGCACTATTAGAAACTACTTGGTGATATCTGCATTCAAGTCACAGAGTTGAACATTCCCTTACTTTGAGCACGTTTGAAACACTCTTTTGGAAGAATCTGGAAGTGGACATTTGGAGCGAATTGATGCCTTTGGTGAAAAGGAAACGTCTTCCAATAAAAGCCAGACAGAAGCATTCTCAGAAACTTGTTCGTGATGTGTGTACTCAACTAAAAGAGTTGAACCTTTCTATTGATAGAGCAGTTTAGAAACACTCTTTTTGTGGATTCTGCAAGTGGATATTTAGATTGCTTTGAGGATTTCGTTGGAAGCGGGAATTCGTATAAACACTAGACAGCAGCATTCCCAGAAATTTCTTTCGGATATTTCCATTCGACTCATAGAGATGAACATGGCCTTTCATAGAGCAGGTTTGAAACACTCTTTTTGTAGTTTGTGGAAGTGGACATTTCGATCGCCTTGACGCCTACGGTGAAAAAGGAAATATCTTCCCATAAAAAATAGACAGAAGCATTCTCAGAAACTTGTTGGTGATATGTGTCCTCAACTAACAGAGTTGAACTTTGCCATTGATAGAGAGCAGTTTTGAAACACTCTTTTTGTCGAATCTGCAAGTGGATATTTGGATAGCTTGGAGGATTTCGTTGGAAGCGGGAATTCAAATAAAAGGTAGACAGCAGCATTCTCAGAAATTTCTTTGTGATGTTTGCATTCAACTCATAGAGTTGAACATTCCCTTTAATAGAGCAGGTTTGAAACACTCTTTCTGTACTATCTGGATGTGGACATTTGGAGCACTTTGAGGCCTACGGTGAAAAAGGAAATGTCTTCCCATAAAAAATTGAAGAAGGATTCTGAGAAACAAGTTTGTGATGTGTGTACTCAGCTAACAGTGGAACCTCTCTTTTGATGCAGCAGTTTGGAAACACTCTTTTTGTAGAAACTGTAAGTGGATATTTGGATAGCTCTAATGATTTCGTTGGAAACGGGAATATCATCATCTAAAATCTAGACAGAAGCCCTCTCAGAAACTACTTTGTGATATCTGCATTCAAGTCACAGAGTTGAACATTCGCTTTCTTTGAGCACGTTGGAAACACTCTTTTTGTAGTGTCTGGAAGTGGACTTTTGGAGCGCTTTGATGCCTTTGGTGAAAAAGGGAACGTCTTCCCATAAAAACTAGACAGAAGCATTCTCAGAAACTTGTTTGTGATGTGTGTACCCAGCCAAAGGAGTTGAACATTTCTATTGATAGAGCAGTTTTGAAACGCTCTTTTTCTGGAAAATGCAGGTGGATATTTGGATAGCTTGGAGGATTTCGTTGGAAGCGGGAATTCAAATAAAAGGTAGACAGCAGGATTCTCAGAAACAAGTTTGTGATGTGTGTACTCAGCTAACAGAGTGGAACCTTTCTTTTTACAGAGCAGCTTTGAAACTCTATTGTTGTGGATTCTGCAAATTGATATTTAGATTGCTTTAACGATATCGTTGGAAAAGGGAATACCGTCATACAAAATCTAGACAGAAGCATTCTCACAAACTTCTTTGTGACGTGTGTCCTCAACTAACAGAGTTGAACCTTTCTTTTGATGCAGCAGTTTGGAAACACTGTTTTTGTAGCAACTGTAAGTGGATATTTGGATAGCTCTAACGATTTCGTTGGAAACGGGAATATCATCATCTAAAATCTAGACAGAAGCACTATTAGAAACTACTTGGTGATATCTGCATTCAAGTCACAGAGTTGAACATTCCCTTACTTTGAGCACGTTTGAAACACTCTTTTGGAAGAATCTGGAAGTGGACATTTGGAGCGCTTTGATGCCTTTGGTGAAAAGGGAAACGTCTTCCAATAAAAGCCAGACAGAAGCATTCTCAGAAACTTGTTCGTGATGTGTGTACTCAACTAAAAGAGTTGAACCTTTCTATTGATAGAGCAGTTTTGAAACACTCTTTTTGTGGATTCTGCAAGTGGATATTTGGATTGCTTTGAGGATTTCGTTGGAAGCGGGAATTCGTATAAACACTAGACAGCAGCATTCCCAGAAATTTCTTTCGGATATTTCCATTCGACTCATAGAGATGAACATGGCCTTTCATAGAGCAGGTTTGAAACACTCTTTTTGTAGTTTGTGGAAGTGGACATTTCGATCGCCTTGACGCCTACGGTGAAAAAGGAAATATCTTCCCATAAAAAATAGACAGAAGCATTCTCAGAAACTTGTTGGTGATATGTGTCCTCAACTAACAGAGTTGAACTTTGCCATTAATAGAGAGCAGTTTTGAAACACTCTTTTTGTGGAATCTGCAAGTGGATATTTGGATAGCTTGGAGGATTTCGTTGGAAGCGGGAATTCAAATAAAAGGTAGACAGCAGCATTCTCAGAAATTTCTTTCTGATGTCTGCATTCAACTCATAGAGTTGAACATTCCCTTTCATAGAGCAGGTTTGAAACACTCTTTCTGGAGTATCTGGATGTGGACATTTGGAGCGCTTTGATGCCTACGGTGAAAAAGTAAATATCTTCCCATAAAAACGAGACAGAAGGATTCTGAGAAACAAGTTTGTGATGTGTGTACTCAGCTAACAGAGTGGAACCTCTCTTTTGATGCAGCAGTTTGGAAGCACTCTTTTTGTAGAAACTGTAAGTGGATATTTGGAAGCTCTAATGATTTTGTTGGAAACGGGAATATCATCATCTAAAATCTAGACAGAAGCACTCTCAGAAACTACTTTGTGATATCTGCATTCAAGTCACAGAGTTGAACATTCGCTTTCTTAGAGCACGTTTGAAACACTCTTTTTGTAGTGTCTGGAAGTGGACATTTGGAGCGCTTTGATTCCTTTGGTGAAAAAGGGAATGTCTACCCATAAAAACTAGACAGAAGCATTCTCAGAAACTTGTTTGTGATGTGTGTACCCAGCCAAAGGAGTTGAACATTTCTATTGATAGAGCAGTTTTGAAACGCTCTTTTTGTGGAAAATGCAGGTGGATATTTGGATAGCTTGGAGGATTTCGTTGGAAGCGGGAATTCAAATAAAAGGTAGACAGCAGAATTCTCAGAAATTTCTTTCTGATGTCTTCATTCAACTCATAGAGTTGAAGATTCCCTTTCATAGAGCAGGTTTGAAACACTCTTTCTGGAGTATCTGGATGTGGACATTTGGAGCGCTTTGATGCCTACGGTGGAAAAGTAAATATCTTCCCATAAAAACGAGACAGAAGGATTCTCAGAAACAAGTTTGTGATGTGTGTACTCAGCTAACAGAGTGGATCCTTTCTTTTTACAGAGCAGCTTTGAAACTCTATTTCTGTGGATTCTGCAAATTGATATTTGTGTTGATTTAACGATATCGTTGGAAAAGGGAATATCTTCATACAAAATCTAGACAGAAGCTTTCTCAGAAACTTCTTTGTGATGTGTGTCCTCAACTAACAGAGTTGAACCTTTCTTTTGATGCAGCAGTTTGGAAACACTCTTTTTGTAGAAACTGTAAGTGGATATTTGGATAGGTCTAACGATATCGTTGGAAACGGGAATATCTTCATCTAAAGTATACACAGAAGCACTATTAGAAACTACTTGGTGATATCTGCATTCAAGTCACAGAGTTGAACATTCCCTTACTTTGAGCACGTTTCAAACACTCTTTTGGAAGAATCTGGAAGTGGACATTTGGAGCGCTTTGATGCCTTTGGTGAAAAGGAAACGTCTTCCAATAAAAGCCAGACAGAAGCATTCTCAGAAACTTGTTTGTGATGTGTGTACTCAACTAAAAGAGTTGAACCTTTCTATTGATAGCGCAGTTTTGAAACACTCTTTTTGTGGATTCTGCAAGTGGATATTTGGATTGCTTTGAGGATTTCGTTGGAAGCGGGAATTCGTATAAAAATTAGACAGCAGCATTCCCAGAAATTTCTTTCGGATATTTCCATTCAACTCATAGAGATGAACATGGCCTTTCATAGAGCAGGTTTGAAACACTCTTTTTGTAGTTTGTGGAAGTGGACATTTCGATCGCCTTGACACCTACGCTGAAAAAGGAAATATCTTCCCATAAAAAATAGACAGAAGCATTCTCAGAAACTTGTTGGTGATATGTGTCCTCAACTAACAGAGTTGAACTTTGCCATTGATAGAGAGCAGTTTTGAAACACTCTTTTTGTGGAATCTGCAAGTGGATATTTGGATAGCTTGGAGGATTTCGTTGGAAGCGGGAATTCAAATAAAAGGTAGACAGCAGCATTCTCAGAAATTTCTTTCTGATGTCTGCATTCAACTCATAGATTTGAAGATTCCCTTTCATAGAGCAGGTTTGAAACACTCTTTCTGGAGTATCTGGATGTGGACATTTGGAGCGCTTTGATGCCTACGGTGAGAAAGTAAATATCTTCCCATAAAAACGAGACAGAAGGATTCTGAGAAACAAGTTTGTGATGTGTGTACTCAGCTAACAGAGTGGAACCTCTGTTTTGATGCAGCAGTTTGGAAACACTCTTTTTGTAGAAACTGTAAGTGGATATTTGGATAGCTCTAATGATTTCGTTGGAAACGGGAATATCATCATCTAAAATCTAGACAGAAGCACTCTCAGAAACTACTTTGTGATATCTGCATTCAAGTCACAGAGTTGAACATTCGCTTTCTTAGAGCACGTTTGAAACACTCTTTTTGTAGTGTCTGGAAGTGGACATTTGGAGCGCTTTGATTCCTTTGGTGAAAAAGGGAATGTCTACCCATAAAAACTAGACAGAAGCATTCTCAGAAACTTGTTTGTGATGTGTGTACCCAGCCAAAGGAGTTGAACATTTCTATTGATAGAGCAGTTTTGAAACACTCTTTTTGTGGAAAATGCAGGTGGATATATGGATAGCTTGGAGGATTTCGTTGGAAGCGGGAATTCAAATAAAAGGTAGACAGCAGCATTCTCAGAAATTTCTTTCTGATGTCTGCATTCAACTCATAGAGTTGAAGATTCCCTTTCATAGAGCAGGTTTGAAACACTCTTTCTGGAGTATCTGGATGTGTACATTTGGAGCGCTTTGATGCCTACGGTGAAAAAGTAAATATCTTCCCATAAAAACGAGACAGAAGGATTCTGAGAAACAAGTTTGTGATGTGTGTACTCAGCTAACAGAGTGGAACCTTTCTTTTTACAGAGCAGCTTTGAAACTCTATTTTTGTGGATTCTGCAAATGGATATTTAGATTGCTTTAATGATATCGCTGGAAAAGGGAATATGGTCATACAAAATCTAGACAGAAGCATTCTCACAAACTTCTTTGTGATGTGTGTCCTCAACTAACAGAGTTGAACCTTTCTTTTGATGCAGCAGTTTGGAAACACTCTTTTTGTAGAAACTGTAAGTGGATATTTGGATAGCTCTAACAATTTCGTTGGAAACGGGAATATCATCATCTAAAATCTAGACAGAAGCACTATTAGAAACTACTTGGTGATATCTGCATTCAAGTCACAGAGTTGAACATTCCCTTACTTTGAGCACGTTTCAAACACTCTTTTGGAAGAATCTGGAAGTGGACATTTGGAGCGCTTTGATGCCTTTGGTGAAAAGGAAACGTCTTCCAATAAAAGCCAGACAGAAGCATTCTCAGAAACTTGTTCTTGATGTGTATACTCAACTAAAAGAGTTGAACCTTTCTATTGATAGAGCAGTTTTGAAACACTCTTTTTGTGGATTCTGCAAGTGGATATTTGGATTGCTTTGAGGATTTCGTTGGAAGCGGGAATTCGTATAACAACTAGACAGCAACATTCCCAGAAATTTCTTTCGGATATTTCCATTCAACTCATAGAGATGAACATGGCCTTTCATAGAGCAGGTTTGAAACACTCTTTTTGTAGTTTGTGGAAGTGGACATTTCGATCGCCTTGACGCCTACGGTGAAAAAGGAAATATCTTCCCATAAAAAATAGACAGAAGAATTCTCAGAAACTTGTTTGTGATGTGTATCCTCAACTGACAGAGTTGAACCTTGCCATTGATAGAGCAGTTTAGAAACACTCTTTTTGTGGAATCTGCAAGTGGATATTTGGATAGCCTGGAGGATTTCGTTGGAAGCGGGAATTCAAATGAAAGGTAGACAGCAGCATTCTCAGAAATTTCTTTGTGACGTTTGCATTCAACTCATAGAGTTGAACATTCCCTTTCATAGAGCAGGTTTGAAACGCTCTTTCTGTACTATCTGGATGTGGACATTTGGAACGCTTTGATGCCTACGGTGAAAAAGAAAATATCTTCCCATAAAAGCTAGACAGAAGGATTCTGAGAAACAAGTTTGTGATGTGTGTACTCAGCTAACAGAGTGGAACCTCTCTTTTGATGCAGCAGTTTGGAAACACTCTTTTTGTAGAAACTGTAAGTGGATATTTGGATAGCTCTAATGATTTCTTTGGAAACGGGGAATATCATCATCTAAAATCTAGACAGAAGCACTATTAGAAACTACTTTGTGATATCTGCATTCAAGTCACAGAGTTGAACATTCGCTTTCTTAGAGCACGTTGGAAACACTCTTTTTGTAGTGTCTGGAAGTGGACATTTGGAGCGCTTTGATGCCTTTGGTGAAAAAGGGAATGTATTCCCATAAAAACTAGACAGAAGCATTCTCAGAAACTTGTTTGTGATGTGTGTACCCAGCTAAAGGAGTTGAACATTTCTATTGATAGAGCAGTTTTGAAACACTCTTTTTGTGGAAAATGCAAGTTGATATTTGGATAGCTTGGAGGATTTCGTTGGAAGCGGGAATTCAAATAAAAGGTAGACAGCAGCATTCTCAGAAATTTCTTTCTGATGTCTGCATTCAACTCATAGAGTTGAAGATTCCCTTTCATAGAGCAGGTTTGAAACACTCGTTCTGGAGTATCTGGATGTGGACATTTGGAGCGCTTTGATGCCTACCGTGGAAAAGTAAATATCTTCCCATAAAAACGAGACAGAAGGATTCTCAGAAACAAGTTTGTGATGTGTGTACTCAGCTAGCAGAGTGGAACCTTTCTTTTTACAGAGCAGCTTTGAAACTCTATTGTTGTGGATTCTGCAAATTGATATTTAGATTGCTTTAACGATATCGTTGGAAAAGGGAATACCGTCATACAAAATCTAGACAGAAGCATTCTCACAAACTTCTTTGTGACGTGTGTCCTCAACTAACAGAGTTGAACCTTTCTTTTGATGCAGCAGTTTGGAAACACTGTTTTTGTAGCAACTGTAAGTGGATATTTGGATAGCTCTAACGATTTCGTTGGAAACCGGGAATATCATCATCTAAAATCTAGACAGAAGCACTATTAGAAACTACTTGGTGATATCTGCATTCAAGTCACAGAGTTGAACATTCCCTTACTTTGAGCACGTTTCAAACACTCTTTTGGAAGAATCTGGAAGTGGACATTTGGAGCGCTTTGATGCCTTTGGTGAAAAGGAAACGTCTTCCAATAAAAGCCAGACAGAAACATTCTCAGAAACTTGTTTGTGATGTGTGTACTCAACTAAAAGAGTTGAACCTTTCTATTGATAGAGCAGTTTTGAAACACTCTTTTTGTGGATTCTGCAAGTGGATATTTGGATTGCTTTGAGGATTTCGTTGGAAGCGGGAATTCATATAAAAACTAGACAGCAGCATTCCCAGAAATTTCTTTCGGATATTTCCATTCAACTCATAGAGATGAACATCGCCTTTCATAGAGCAGGTTTGAAACACTCTTTTTGTAGTTTGTGGAAGTGGACATTTCGATCGCCTTGACGCCTACGGTGAAAAAGGAAATATCTTCCCATAAAAAATAGACAGAAGCATTCTCAGAAACTTGTTGGTGATATGTGTCCTCAACTAACAGAGTTGAACTTTGCCATTGATAGAGAGCAGTTTTGAAACACTCTTTTTGTGGAATCTGCAAGTGGATATTTGGATAGCTTGGAGGATTTCGTTGGAAGCGGGAATTCAAATAAAAGGTAGACAGCAGCATTCTCAGAAATTTCTTTCTGATCTCTGCATTCAACTCATAGAGTTGAAGATTCCGTTTCATAGGGCAGGTTTGAAATACTCTTTCTGTAGTATCTGGATGTGGACATTTGGAGCGCTTTGATGCCTACGGTGAAAAAGTAAATATCTTCCCATAAAAACGAGACAGAAGGATTCTCAGAAACAAGTTTGTGATGTGTGTACTCAGCTAACAGAGTGGAACCTCTCTTTTGATGCAGCAG
The DNA here is from genome assembly GCF_000001405.40 of Homo sapiens. Lineage (NCBI taxonomy): Eukaryota > Metazoa > Chordata > Mammalia > Primates > Hominidae > Homo > Homo sapiens. The sequence continues at coordinate 18,095,759 of NC_000014.9, forward strand.
TTTGGAAACACTCTTTTTGTAGAAAGTGTAAGTGGATATTTGGATAGCTCTAATGATTTCGTTGGAAACGGGAATATCATCATCTAAAATCTAGACAGAAGCACTCTCAGAAACTACTGTGTGATATCTGCATTCAAGTCACAGAGTTGAACATTCGCTTTCTTAGAGCACGTTTGAAACACTCTTTTTGTAGTGTCTGGAAGTGGACATTTGGAGCGCTTTGATTCCTTTGGTGAAAAAGGGAATGTCTACCCATAAAAACTAGACAGAAGCATTCTCAGGAAACTTGTTTGTGATGTGTGTACCCAGCCAAAGGAGTTGAACATTTCTATTGATAGAGCAGTTTTGAAACGCTCTTTTTGTGGAAAATGCAGGTGGATATTTGGATAGCTTGGAGGATTTCGTTGGAAGCGGGAATTCAAATAAAAGGTAGACAGCAGCATTCTCAGAAATTTCTTTCTGATGTCTGCATTCAACTCATAGAGTTGAAGATTCCCTTTCATAGAGCAGGTTTGAAACACTCGTTCTGGAGTATCTGGATGTGGACATTTGGAGCGCTTTGATGCCTACGGTGGAAAAGTAAATATCTTCCCATAAAAACGAGACAGAAGGATTCTCAGAAACAAGTTTGTGATGTGTGTACTCAGCTAACAGAGTGGAACCTTTCTTTTTACAGAGCAGTTTTGAAACTCTATTTTTGTGGATTCTGCAAATTGATATTTAGATTGCTTTAACGATATCGTTGTAAAAGGGAATATCGTCATACAAAATCTAGACAGAAGCATTCTCACAAACTTCTTTGTGATGTGTGTCCTCAACTAACAGAGTTGAACCTTTCTTTTGATGCAGCAGTTTGGAAACACTCTTTTTGTAGAAACTGTAAGTGGATATTTGGATAGCTGTAACGATTTCGTTGGAAACGGGAATATCATCATCTAAAATCTAGACAGAAGCACTATTAGAAACTACTTGGTGATATCTGCATTCAAGTCACAGAGTTGAACATTCCCTTACTTTGAGCACGTTTGAAACACTCTTTTGGAAGAATCTGGAAGTGGACATTTGGAGCGCTTTGATGCCTTTGGTGAAAAGGGAAACGTCTTCCAATAAAAGCCAGACAGGAAGCATTCTCAGAAACTTGTTCGTGATGTGTGTACTCAACTAAAAGAGTTGAACCTTTCTATTGATAGCGCAGTTTTGAAACACTCTTTTTGTGGATTCTGCAAGTGGATATTTGGATTGCTTTGAGGATTTCGTTGCAAGCGGGAATTCATATAAAAACTAGACAGCAGCATTCCCAGAAATTTCTTTCGGATATTTCCATTCAACTCATAGAGATGAACATGGCCTTTCATAGAGCAGGTTTGAAACACTCTTTTTGTTGTTTGTGGAAGTGGACATTTCGATCGCTTTGACGCATACGGTGAAAAAGGAAATATCTTCCCATAAAAATTAGACAGAAGCATTCTCAGAAACTTGTTGGTGATATGTGTCCTCAACTAACAGAGTTGAACTTTGCCATTGATAGAGAGCAGTTTTGAAACACTCTTTTTGTGGAATCTGCAAGTGGATATTTGGATAGCTTGGAGGATTTCGTTGGAAGCGGGAATTCAAATAAAAGGTAGACAGCAGCATTCTCAGAAATTTCTTTCTGATGTCTGCATTCAACTCATAGAGTTGAAGATTCCCTTTCATAGAGCAGGTTTGAAACACTCTTTCTGGAGTATCTGGATGTGGACATTTGGAGCGCTTTGATGCCTACGGTGAAAAAGCAAATATCTTCCCATAAAAACGAGACAGAAGGATTCTGAAAAACAAGTTTGTGATGTGTGTACTCAGCTAACAGAGTGGAACCTCTCTTTTGATGCAGCAGTTTGGAAACACTCTTTTTGTAGAAACTGTAAGTGGATATTTGGATAGCTCTAATGATTTCGTTGGAAACGGGAATATCATCATCTAAAATCTAGACAGAAGCACTCTCAGAAACTACTGTGTGATATCTGCATTCAAGTCACAGAGTTGAACATTCGCTTTCTTAGAGCACGTTTGAAACACTCTTTTTGTAGTGTCTGGAAGTGGACATTTGGAGCGCTTTGATTCCTTTGGTGAAAAAGGGAATGTCTACCCATAAAAACTACACAGAAGCATTCTCAGAAACTTGTTTGTGATGTGTGTACCCAGCCAAAGGAGTTGAACATTTCTATTGATAGAGCAGTTTTGAAACACTCTTTTTGTGGAAAATGCAGGTGGATATTTGGATAGCTTGGAGGATTTCGTTGGAAGCGGGAATTCAAATAAAAGGTTGACAGCAGCATTCTCAGAAATTTCTTTCTGATGTCTGCATTCAACTCATAGAGTTGAAGATTCCCTTTCATAGAGCAGGTTTGAAACACTCGTTCTGGAGTATCTGGATGTGGACATTTGGAGCGCTTTGATGCCTACGGTGGAAAAGTAAATATCTTCCCATAAAAACGAGACAGAAGGATTCTCAGAAACAAGTTTGTGATGTGTGTACTCAGCTAACAGAGTGGAACCTTTCTTTTTACAGAGCAGCTTTGAAACTCTATTGTTGTGGATTCTGCAAATTGATATTTAGATTGCTTTAACGATATCGTTGGAAAAGGGAATATCGTCATACAAAATCTAGACAGAAGCATTCTCACAAACTTCTTTGTGATGTGTGTCCTCAACTAACAGAGTTGAACCTTTCTTTTGATGCAGCAGTTTGGAAACACCCTTTTGGTAGAAACTGTAAGTGGATATTTGGATAGCTCTAACGAATTCGTTGGAAACGGGAATATCATCATCTAAAATCTAGACAGAAGCACTATTAGAAACTACTTGGTGATATCTGCATTCAAGTCACAGAGTTGAACATTCCCTTACTTTGAGCACGTTTGAAACACTCTTTTGGAAGAATCTGGAAGTGGACATTTGGAGCGTTTTGATGCCTTTGGTGAAAAGGAAACGTCTTCCAATAAAAGCCAGACAGAAGCATTCTCAGAAACTTGTTTGTGATGTGTGTACTCAACTAAAAGAGTTGAACCTTTCTATTGATAGAGCAGTTTTGAAACACTCTTTTTGTGGATTCTGCAAGTGGATATTTGGATTGCTTTGAGGATTTCGTTGGAAGCGGGAATTCGTATAACAACTACACAGCAGCATTCCCAGAAATTTCTTTCGGATATTTCCATTCAACTCATAGAGATGAACATGGCCTTTCATAGAGCAGGTTTGAAACACTCTTTTTGTAGTTTGTGGAAGTGGACATTTCGATCGCCTTGATGCCTACGGTGAAAAAGGAAATATCTTCCCATAAAAAATAGACAGAAGCATTCTCAGAAACTTGTTGGTGATATGTGTCCTCAACTAACAGAGTTGAACTTTGTCATTGATAGAGAGCAGTTTTGAAACACTCTTTTTGTGGAATCTGCAAGTGGATATTTGGATAGCTTGGAGGATTTCGTTGGAAGCGGGAATTCAAATAAAAGGTAGACAGCAGCATTCTCAGAAATTTCTTTCTGATGTCTGCATTCAACTCATAGAGTTGAAGATTCCCTTTCATAGAGCAGGTTTGAAACACTCTTTCTGTAGTATCTGGATGTGGACATTTGGAGCGCATTGATGCCTACGGTGAAAAAGTATAATCTTCCCATAAAAACGAGACAGAAGGATTCTGAGAAACAAGTTTGTGATGTGTGTACTCAGCTAACAGAGTGGAACCTCTCTTTTGATGCAGCAGTTTGGAAACACTCTTTTTGTAGAAACTGTAAGTGGATATTTGGATAGCTCTAATGATTTCGTTGGAAACGGGAATATCATCATCTAAAATCTAGACAGAAGCCCTCTCAGAAACTACTTTGTGATATCTGCATTCAAGTCACAGAGTCGAACATTCGGTTTCTTAGAGCACGTTGGAAACACTCTTTTTGTAGTGTCTGGAAGTGGACATTTGGAGCGCTTTGATGCCTTTGGTGAAAAAGGGAATGTCTTCCCATAAAAACTAGACAGAAGCATTCTCAGAAACTTGTTTGTGATGTGTGCACCCAGCTAAAGGAGTTGAACATTTATTGATAGAGCAGTTTTGAAGCACTCTTTTTGTGGAAAATGCAAGTGGATATTTGGATAGCTTGGAGGATTTCGTTGGAAGCGGGAGTTCAAATAAAAGGTAGACAGCAGCATTCTCAGAAATTTCTTTCTGATTCTGCATTCAACTCATAGAGTTGAAGATTCCCTTTCATAGAGCAGGTTTGAAACACTCGTTCTGGAGTATCTGGATGTGGACATTTGGAGCGCTTTGATGCCTACAGTGGAAAAGTAAATATCTTCCCATAAAAACGAGACAGAAGGTTTCTCAGAAACAAGTTTGTGATGTGTGTACTCAGCTAACAGAGTGGAACCTTTCTTTTTACAGAGCAACTTTGAAACTCTATTTTTGTGGATTCTGCAAATTGATATTTAGATTGCTTTAACGATATCGTTGGAAAAGGGAATATCGTCATACAAAATCTAGACAGAAGCATTCTCACAAACTTCTTTGTGATGTGTGTCCTCAACTAACAGAGTTGAACCTTTCTTTTGATGCAGCAATTTGGAAACACCCTTTTGGTAGAAACTGTAACTGGATATTTGGATAGCTCTAACGATTTCGTTGGAAACGGGAATATCATCACCTAAAATCTAGACAGAAGCACTATTAGAAACTACTTGGTGATATCTGCATTCAAGTCACAGAGTAGAACATTCCCTTACTTCGACCACGTTTGAAACACTCTTTTGGAAGAATCTGGAAGTGGACATTTGGAGCGCTTTGATGCCTTTGGTGAAAAAGGGAATGTCTTCCCATAAAAACTAGACAGAAGCATTCTCAGAAACTTGTTCGTGATGTGTGTACTCAACTAAAAGAGTTGAACCTTTCTATTGATAGAGCAGTTTTGAAACACTCTTTTTGTGGATTCTGCAAGTGGATATTTGAATTGCTTTGAGGATTTCGTTGGAAGCGGGAATTCGTATAAGCACTAGACAGCAGCATTCCCAGAAATTTCTTTCGGATATTTCCATTCAACTCATAGAGATGAACATGGCCTTTCATAGAGCAGGTTTGAAACACTCTTTTTGTAGTTTGTGGAAGTGGACATTTCGATCGCCTTGACGCCTACGGTGAAAAAGGAAATATCTTCCCATAAACAATAGACAGAAGCATTCTCAGAAACTTGTTGGTGATATGTGTCCTCAACTAACAGAGTTGAACTTTGCCATTGATAGAGAGCAGTTTTGAAACACTCTTTTTGTGGAATCTGCAAGTGGATATTTGGATAGCTTGGAGGATTTCGTTGGAAGCGGGAATTCAAATAAAAGGTAGACAGCAGCATTCTCAGAAATTTCTTTCTGATGTCTGCATTCAACTCATAGAGTTGAAGATTCCCTTTCATAGAGCTGGTTTGAAACACTCTTTCTGGAGTATCTGGATGTGGACATTTGGAGCGCTTTGATGCCTACGGTGAAAAAGTAAATATCTTCCCATAAAAACGAGACAGAAGCATTCTCACAAACTTCTTTGTGATGTGTGTCCTAAACTAACAGAGTTGAACCTTTCTTTTGATGCAGCAGTTTGGAAACACTCTTTTTGTAGAAACTGTAAGTGGATATTTGGATAGCTCTAATGATTTCGTTGGAAATGGGAATATCATCATCTAAAATCTAGACAGAAGCCCTCTCAGAAACTACTTTGTGATATCTGCATTCAAGTCACAGAGTTGAACATTCGCTTTCTTAGAGCACGTTTGAAACACTCTTTTTGTAGTGTCTGGAAGTGGACATTTGGAGCGCTTTGATGCCTTTGGTGAAAAAGGGAATGTCTTCCCATAAAAACTAGACAGAAGCATTCTCAGAAACTTGTTTGTGATGTGTGTACCCAGCCAAAGGAGTTAAACATTTCTATTGATAGAGCAGTTTTGAAACACTCTTTTTGTGGAAAATGCAGGTGGATATTTGGATAGCTTGGAGGATTTCGTTGGAAGCGGGAATTCAAATAAAAGGTAGACAGCAGCATTCTCAGAAATTTCTTTCTGATGTCTGCATTCAACTCATAGAGTTGAAGATTCCCTTTCATAGAGCAGGTTTGAAACACTCGTTCTGGAGTATCTGGATGTGGACATTTGGAGCGCTTTGATGCCTACGGTGGAAAAGTAAATATCTTCCCATAAAAACGAGACAGAAGGATTCTCAGAAACAAGTTTGTGATGTGTGTACTCAGCTAACAGAGTGGAACCTTTCTTTTTACAGAGCAGCTTTGAAACTCTATTTTTGTGGAATCTGCAAATTGATATTTAGATTGCTTTAACGATATCGTTGGAAAAGGGAATATCGTCATACAAAATCTAGACAGAAGCATTCTCACAAACTTCTTTGTGATGTGTGTCCTCAACTAACAGAGTTGAACCTTTCTTTTGATGCAGCAGTTTGGAAACACTCTTTTTGTAGAAACTGTAAGTGGATATTTGGATAGCTCTAACGATTTCGTTGGAAACGGGAATATCATCATCTAAAATCTAGACAGAAGCACTATTAGAAACTACTTAGTGATATCTGCATTCAAGTCACAGAGTTGAACATTCCCTTACTTTGAGCACGTTTCAAACACTCTTTTGGAAGAATCTGGAAGTGGACATTTGGAGCGCTTTGATGCCTTTGGTGAAAAGGAAACGTCTTCCAATAAAAGCCAGACAGAAGCATTCTCAGAAACTTGTTTGTGATGTGTGTACTCAACTAAAAGAGTTGAACCTTTCTATTGATAGAGCAGTTTTGAAACACTCTTTTTGTGGATTCTGCAAGTGGATATTTGGATTGCTTTGAGGATTTCGTTGGAAGCGGGAATTCGTATAAAAACTAGACAGCAGCATTCCCAGAAATTTCTTTCGGATATTTCCATTCAACTCATAGAGATGAACATGGCCTTTCATAGAGCAGTTTTGAATCACTCTTTTTGTAGTTTGTGGAAGTGGACATTTCGATCGCCTTGACGCATACGGTGAAAAAGGAAATATCTTCCCATAAAAAATAGACAGAAACATTCTCAGAAACTTGTTGGTGATATGTGTCCTCAACTAACAGAGTTGAACTTTGCCATTGATAGAGAGCAGTTTTGAAACACTCTTTTTGTGGAATCTGCAAGTGGATATTTGGATAGCTTGGAGGATTTCGTTGGAAGCGGGAATTCAAATAAAAGGTAGACAGCAGCATTCTCAGAAATTTCTTTCTGATGTCTGCATTCAACTCATAGAGTTGAAGATTCCCTTTCATAGAGCAAGTTTGAAACACTCTTTCTGGAGTATCTGGATATGGACATTTGGAGCGCTTTGATGCCTACGGTGAAAAAGTAAATATCTTCCCATAAAAACGAGACAGAAGGATTCTGAGAAACAAGTTTGTGATGTGTGTACTCAGCTAACAGAGTGGAACCTCTCTTTTGATGCAGCAGTTTGGAAACACTCTTTTTGTAGAAACTGTAAGTGGATATTTGGATAGCTCTAATGATTTCGTTGGAAACGGGAATATCATCAACTAAAATCTAGACAGAAGCCCTCTCAGAAACCACTTTGTGATATCTGCATTCAAGTCACAGAGTTGAACATTCGCTTTCTTAGAGCACGTTTGAAACACTCTTTTTGTAGTGTCTGGAAGTGGACATTTGGAGCGCTTTGATGCCTTTGGTGAAAAAGGGAACGTCTTCCCATAAAAACTAGACAGAAGCATTCTCAGAAACTTGTTTGTGATGTGTGTACCCAGCCAAAGGAGTTGAACATTTCTATTGATAGAGCAGTTTTGAAACACTCTTGTTGTGGAAAATGCAGGTGGATATTTGGATAGCTTGGAGGATTTCGTTGGAAGCGGGAATTCAAATAAAAGGTAGACAGCAGCATTCTCAGAAATTTCTTTCTGATGTCTGCATTCAACTCATAGAGTTGAAGATTCCCTTTCATAGAGCAGGTTTGAAACACTCTTTCTGGAGTATCTGGATGTGGACATTTGGAGCGCTTTGATGCCTACGGTGAAAAAGTAAATATCTTCCCATAAAAACGAGACAGAAGGATTCTCAGAAACAAGTTTGTGATGTGTGTACTCAGCTAACAGAGTGGAACCTTTCTTTTTACAGAGCAGCTTTGAAACTCTATTTTTGTGGATTCTGCAAATTGATATTTAGATTGCTTTAAGGATATCGTTGGAAAAGGGAATATCGTCATACAAAATCTAGACAGAAGCATTCTCACAAACTTCTTTGTGATGTGTGTCCTCAACTAACAGAGTTGAACCTTTCTTTTGATGCAGCAGTTTGGAAACACTCTTTTTGTAGAAACTGTAAGTGGATATTTGGATAGCTCTAACGATTTCGTTGGAAACGGGAATATCATCATCTAAAATCTAGACAGAAGCACTATTAGAAACTACTTGGTGATATCTGCATTCAAGTCACAGAGTTGAACATTCCCTTACTTCGACCACGTTTGAAACACTCTTTTGGAAGAATCTGGAAGTGGACACTTGGAGCGCTTTGATGCCTTTGGTGAAAAGGAAACGTCTTCCAATAAAAGCCAGACAGAAGCATTCTCAGAAACTTGTTTGTGATGTGTGTACTCAACTAAAAGAGTTGAACCTTTCTATTGATAGTGCAGTTTTGAAACACTCTTTTTGTGAATTCTGCAAGTGGATATTTGGATTGCTTTGAGGATTTCGTTGGAAGCGGGAATTCGTATAAACACTAGACAGCAGCATTCCCAGAAATTTCTTTCGGATATTTCCATTCGACTCATAGAGATGAACATGGCCTTTCATAGAGCAGGTTTGAAACACTCTTTTTGTAGTTTGTGGAAGTGGACATTTCGATCGCCTTGACGCCTACGGTGAAAAAGGAAATATCTTCCCATAAAAAATAGACAGAAGCATTCTCAGAAACTTGTTGGTGATATGTGTCCTCAACTAACAGAGTTGAACTTTGCCATTGATAGAGAGCAGTTTTGAAACACTCTTTTTGTGGAATCTGCAAGTGGATATTTGGATAGCTTGGAGGATTTCGTTGGAAGCGGGAATTCAAATAAAAGGTAGACAGCAGGATTCTGAGAAACAAGTTTGTGATGTGTGTACTCAGCTAACAGAGTGGAACCTCTCTTTTGATGCAGTAGTTTGGAAACACTCTTTTTGTAGAAACTGGAAGTGGATATTTGGATAGCTCTAATGATTTCGTTGGAAACGGGAATATCATCATCTAAAATCTAGACAGAAGCACTCTCAGAAACTACTGTGTGATATCTGCATTCAAGTCACAGAGTTGAACATTCGCTTTCTTAGAGCACGTTTGAAACACTCTTTTTGTAGTGTCTGGATGTGGACATTTGGAGCGCTTTGATTCCTTTGGTGAAAAAGGGAATGTCTACCCATAAAAACTAGACAGAAGCATTCTCAGAAACTTGTTTGTGATGTGTGTACCCAGCCAAAGGAGTTGAACATTTCTATTGATAGAGCAGTTTTGAAACACTCTTGTTGTGGAAAATGCAGGTGGATATTTGGATAGCTTGGAGGATTTCGTTGGAAGCGGGAATTCAAATGAAAGGTAGACAGCAGGATTCTGAGAGACAAGTTTGTGATGTGTGTACTCAGCTAACAGAGTGGAACCTTTCTTTTTACAGAGCAGCTTTGAAACTCTATTTTTGTGGATTCTGCAAATGGATATTTAGATTGCTTTAACGATATCGTTGGAAAAGGGAATATCGTCATACAAAATCTGGACAGAAGCATTCTCACAAACTTCTTTGTGACGTGTGTCCTCAACTAACAGAGTTGAACCTTTCTTTTGATGCAGCAGTTTGGAAACACTGTTTTTGTAGCAACTGTAAGTGGATATTTGGATAGCTCTAACGATTTCGTTGGAAACGGGAATATCATCATCTAAAATCTAGACAGAAGCACTATTAGAAACTTCTTGGTGATATCTGCATTCAAGTCACAGAGTAGAACATTCCCTTACTTCGAGCACGTTTGAAACACTCTTTTGGAAGAATCTGGAAGTGGACATTTGGAGCGCTTTGATGCCTTTGGTGAAAAGGAAACGTCTTCCAATAAAAGCCAGACAGAAGCATTCTCAGAAACTTGTTTGTGATGTGTGTACTCAACTAAAAGAGTTGAACCTTTCTATTGATAGAGCAGTTTTGAAACCCTCTTTTTGTGGATTCTGCAAGTGGATATTTGGATTGCTTTGAGGATTTCGTTGGAAGCGGGAATTCGTATAAACACTAGACAGCAGCATTCCCAGAAATTTCTTTCGGATCTTTCCATTCAACTCATAGAGATGAACATGGCCTTTCATATTGAAACACTCTTTTTGTAGTTTGTGGAAGTGGACATTTCGATCGCCTTGACGCCTACGGTGAAAAAGGAAATATCTTCCCATAAAAAATAGACAGAAGCATTCTCAGAAACTTGTTGGTGATATGTGTCCTCAACTAACAGAGTTGAACTTTGCCATTGATAGAGAGCAGTTTTGAAACACTCTTTTTGTGGAATCTGCAAGTGGATATTTGGATAGCTTGGAGGATTTCGTTGGAAGCGGGAATTCAAATAAAAGGTAGACAGCAGCATTCTCAGAAATTTCTTTCTGATGTCTGCATTCAACTCATAGAGTTGAAGATTCCCTTTCATAGAGCAGGTTTGAAACACTCTTTCTGGAGTATCTGGATGTGGACATTTGGAGCGCTTTGATGCCTACGGTGAAAAAGTAAATATCTTACCCAGAAAAACGAGACAGAAGGATTCTGAGAAACAAGTTTGTGATGTGTGTACTCAGCTAACAGAGTGGAACCTCTCTTTTGATGCAGCAGTTTGGAAACACTCTTTTTGTAGAAACTGTAAGTGGATATTTGGATAGCTCTAATGATTTCGTTGGAAAAGGGAATATCATCATCTAAAATCTAGACAGAAGCCCTCTCAGAAACTACTTTGTGATATCTGCATTCAAGTCACAGAGTTGAACATTCGCTTTCTTAGGGCACGTTGGAAACACTCTTTTTGTAGTGTCTGGAAGTGGACATTTGGAGTGCTTTGATGCCTTTGGTGAAAAAGGGAATGTCTTCCCATAAAAACTAGACAGAAGCATTCTCAGAAACTTGTTTGTGATGTGTGTACCCAGCTAAAGGAGTTGAACATTTCTATTGATAGAGCAGTTTTGAAACACTCTTTTTGTGGAAAATGCAAGTGGATATTTGGATAGCTTGGAGGATTTCGTTGGAAGCGGGAATTCAAATAAAAGTAGACAGCAGCATTCTCAGAAATTTCTTTCTGATGTCTGCATTCAACTCATAGAGTTGAAGATTCCCTTTCATAGAGCAGGTTTGAAACACTCGTTCTGGAGTATCTGGATGTGGACATTTGGAGCGCTTTGATGCCTACGGTGGAAAAGTAAATATCTTCCCATAAAAACGAGACAGAAGGATTCTGAGAAACAAGTTTGTGATGTGTGTACTCAGCTAACAGAGTGGAACCTTTCTTTTTACAGAGCAGCTTTGAAACTCTATTTTTGTGGATTCTGCAAATGGATATTTAGATTCCTTTAACGATATCGTTGGAAAAGGGAATATCGTCATACAAAATCTAGACAGAAGCATTCTCACAAACTTCTTTGTGACGTGTGTCCTCAACTAACAGAGTTGAACCTTTCTTTTGATGCAGCAGTTTGGAAACACTGTTTTTGTAGCAACTGTAAGTGGATATTTGGATAGCTCTAACGATTTCGTTGGAAACGGGAATATCATCATCTAAAATCTAGACAGAAGCACTATTAGAAACTACTTGGTGATATCTGCATTCAAGTCACAGAGTAGAACATTCCCTTACTTCGAGCACGTTTGAAACACTCTTTTGGAAGAATCTGGAAGTGGACATTTGGAGCGCTTTGATGCCTTTGGTGAAAAGGAAACGTCTTCCAATAAAAGCCAGACAGAAGCATTCTCAGAAACTTGTTTGTGATGTGTGTACTCAACTAAAGAGTTGAACCTTTCTATTGATAGAGCAGTTTTGAAACCCTCTTTTTGTGGATTCTGCAAGTGGATATTTGGATTGCTTTGAGGATTTCGTTGGAAGCGGGAATTCGTATAAACACTAGACAGCAGCATTCCCAGAAATTTCTTTCGGATATTTCCATTCGACTCATAGAGATGAACATGGCCTTTCATAGAGCAGGTTTGAAACACTCTTTTTGTAGTTTGTGGAAGTGGACATTTCGATCGCCTTGACGCCTACGGTGAAAAAGGAAATATCTTCCCATAAAAAATAGACAGAAGCATTCTCAGAAACTTGTTGGTGATATGTGTCCTCAACTAACAGAGTTGAACTTTGCCATTGATAGAGAGCAGTTTTGAAACACTCTTTTTGTGGAATCTGCAAGTGGATATTTGGATAGCTTGGAGGATTTCATTGGAAGCGGGAATTCAAATAAAAGGTAGACAGCAGCATTCTCAGAAATTTCTTTCTGATGTCTGCATTCAACTCATAGAGTTGAAGATTCCCTTTCATAGAGCAGGTTTGAAACACTCTTTCTGGAGTATCTGGATGTGGACATTTGGAGCGCTTTGATGCCTACGGTGAAAAAGTAAATATCTTCCCATAAAAACGATACAGAAGGATTCTAAGAAACAAGTTTGTGATGTGTGTACTCAGCTAACAGAGTGGAACCTCTCTTTTGATGCAGCAGTTTGGAAACACTCTTTTTGTAGAAACTGTATGTGGATATTTGGATAGCTCTAATGATTTCGTTGGAAACGGGAATATCATCATCTAAAATCTAGACAGAAGCCCTCTCAGAAACTACTTTGTGATATCTGCATTCAAGTCACAGGGTTGAACATTCGCTTTCTTAGAGCACGTTTGAAACACTCTTTTTGTAGTGTCTGGAAGTGGACATTTGGAGCGCTTTGATGCCTTTGGTGAAAAAGGGAATGTCTTCCCATAAAAACTAGACAGAAGCATTCTCAGAAACTTGTTTGTGATGTGTGTACCCAGCCAAAGGAGTTGAACATTTCTATTGATAGAGCAGTTTTGAAACACTCTTTTTGTGGAAAATGCAAGTGGATATTTGGATAGCTTGGAGGATTTCGTTGGAAGCGGGAATTCAAATAAAAGGTAGACAGCAGCATTCTCAGAAATTTCTTTCTGATGTCTGCATTCAACTCATAGAGTTGAACATTCCCTTTCATAGAGCAGGTTTGAAACACTCGTTCTGGAGTATCTGGATGTGGACATTTGGAGCGCTTTGATGCCTACGGTGGAAAAGTAAATATCTTCCCATAAAAACGAGACAGAAGGATTCTCAGAAACAAGTTTGTGATGTGTGTACTCAGCTAACAGAGTGGAACCTTTCTTTTTACAGAGCAGCTTTGAAACTCTATTTTTGTGGATTCTGCAAATTGATATTTAGATTGCTTTAACGATATCGTTGGAAAAGGGATATCGTCATACAAAATCTAGACAGAAGCATTCTCACAAACTTCTTTGTGCTGTGTGTCCTCAACTAACAGAGTTGAACCTTTCTTTTGATGCAGCAATTTGGAAACACCCTTTTGGTAGAAACTGTAACTGGATATTTGGATAGCTCTAACGATTTCGTTGGAAACGGGAATATCATCATCAAAAGGTAGACAGAAGCACTATTAGAAACTACTTGGTGATATCTGCATTCAAGTCACAGAGTTGAACATTCCCTTACTTTGAGCAGGTTTGAAACACTCTTTTGGAAGAATCTGGAAGTGGACATTTGGAGCGCTTTGATGCCTTTGGTGAAAAGGAAACGTCTTCCAATAAAAGCCAGACAGAAGCATTCTCAGAAACTTGTTTGTGATGTGTGTACTCAACTAAAAGAGTTGAACCTTTCTATTGATAGAGCAGTTTTGAAACACTCTTTTTGTGGATTCTGCAAGTGGATATTTGGATTGCTTTGAGGATTTCGTTGGAAGCGGGAATTCGTATAACAACTAGACAGCAGCATTCCCAGAAATTTCTTTCGGATATTTCCATTCAACTCATAGAGATGAACATGGCCTTTCATAGAGCAGGTTTGAAACACTCTTTTTGTAGTTTGTGGAAGTGGACATTTCGATCGCCTTGACACCTACGGTGAAAAAGGAAATATCTTCCCATAAAAAATAGACAGAAGCATTCTCAGAAACTTGTTGGTGATATGTGTCCTCAACTAACAGAGTTGAACTTTGCCATTGATAGAGAGCAGTTTTGAAACACTCTTTTTCCTGAATCTGCAAGTGGATATTTGGATAGTTTGGAGGATTTCGTTGGAAGCGGGAATTCAAATAAAAGGTAGACAGCAGGATTCTGAGAAACAAGTTTGTGATGTGTGTACTCAGCTAACAGAGTGGAAGCTCTCTTTTGATGCAGCAGTTTGGAAACACTCTTTTTGTAGAAACTGTAAGTGGATATTTGGATAGCTCTAATGATTTCGTTGGAAACGGGAATATCATCATCTAAAATCTAGACAGAAGCACTCTCAGAAACTACTTTGTGATATCTGCATTCAAGTCACAGAGTTGAACATTCGCTTTCTTAGAGCACTTTTTAAACACTCTTTTTGTAGTATCTGGAAGTGGACATTTGGAGCTCTTTGATGCCTTTGGTGAAATAGGAAATGTCTTCCCATAAAAACTAGACAGACAAGCATTCTCAGAAACTTGTTTGTGATGTGTGCACCCAGCTAAAGGAGTTGAACATTTATTGATAGAGCAGTTTTGAAGCACTCTTTTTGTGGAAAATGCAAGTGGATATTTGGATAGCTTGGAGGATTTCGTTGGAAGCGGGAGTTCAAATAAAAGGTAGACAGCAGCATTCTCAGAAATTTCTTTCTGATGTCTGCATTCAACTCATAGAGTTGAAGATTCCCTTTCATAGAGCAGGTTTGAAACACTCTTTCTGGAGTATCTGGATGTGGACATTTGGAGCGCTTTGATGCCTACGGTGAAAAAGTAAATATCTTCCCATAAAAACGAGACAGAAGGATTCTGAGAGACAAGTTTGTGATGTGTGTACTCAGCTAACAGAGTGGAACCTTTCTTTTTACAGAGCAGCTTTGAAACTCTATTTTTGTGGATTCTGCAAATGGATATTTAGATTGCTTTAATGATATCGTTGGAAAAGGGAATAACGTCATACAAAATCTGGACAGAAGCATTCTCACAAACTTCTTTGTGATGTGTGTCCTCAACTAGCAGAGTTGAACCTTTCTTTTGATGCAGCAATTTGGAAACACCCTTTTGGTAGAAACTGTAACTGGATATTTGGATAGCTCTAACGATTTCGTTGGAAACGGGAATATCATCATCTAAAATGTAGACAGAAGCACTATTAGAAACTACTTGGTGATATCTGCATTCAAGTCACAGAGTTGAACATTCCCTTACTTTGAGCACGTTTGAAACACTCTTTTGGAAGAATCTGGAAGTGGACATTTGGAGCGCTTTGATGCCTTTGGTGAAAAGGAAACGTCTTCCAATAAAAGCCAGACAGAAGCATTCTCAGAAACTTGTTTGTGATGTGTGTACTCAACTAAAAGAGTTGAACCTTTCTATTGATAGAGCAGTTTTGAAACACTCTTTTTGTGGATTCTGCAAGTGGATATTAGGATTGTTTTGAGGATTTCGTTGGAAGCGGGAATTCGTATAAAATCTAGACAGCAGCATTCCCAGAAATTTCTTTCGGATATTTCCATTCGACTCATAGAGATGAACATGGCCTTTCATAGAGCAGGTTTGAAACACTCTTTTTGTAGTTTGTGGAAGTGGACATTTCGATCGCCTTGACGCCTACGGTGAAAAAGGAAATATCTTCCCATAAAAAATAGACAGAAGAATTCTCAGAAACTTGTTTGTGATGTGTATCCTCAACTGACAGAGTTGAACCTTGCCATTGATAGAGCAGTTTAGAAACACTCTTTTTGTGGAAAATGCAAGTGGATATTTGGATAGCTTGGAGGATTTCGTTGGAAGCGGGAATTCAAATAAAAGGTAGACAGCAGGATTCTGAGAAACAAGTTTGTGATGTGTGTACTCAGCTAACAGAGTGGAACCTCTGTTTTGATGCAGCAGTTTGGAAACACTCTTTTTGTAGAAACTGTAAGTGGATATTTGGATAGCTCTAATGATTTCGTTGGAAACGGGAATATCATCATCTAAAATCTAGACAGAAGCCCTCTCAGAAACTACTTTGTGATATCTGCATTCAAGTCACAGAGTTGAACATTCGCTTTCTTAGAGCACGTTGGAAACACTCTTTTTGTAGTGTCTGGAAGTGGACATTTGGAGCGCTTTGATGCCTTTGGTGAAAAAGGGAATGTCTTCCCATAAAAACTAGACAGAAGCATTCTCAGAAACTTGTTTGTGATGTGTGCACCCAGCTAAAGGAGTTGAACATTTCTATTGATAGAGCAGTTTTCAAACACTCTTTTTGTGGAAAATGCAAGTGGATATTTGGATAGCTTGGAGGATTTCGTTGGAAGCGGGAGTTCAAATAAAAGGTAGACAGCAGCATTCTCAGAAATTTCTTTCTGATGTCTGCATTCAACTCATAGCAGTTGAAGATTCCCTTTCATAGAGCAGGTTTGAAACACTCTTTCTGGAGTATCTGGATGTGGACATTTGGAGCGCTTTGATGCCTACGGTGAAAAAGTAAATATCTTCCCATAAAAACGAGACAGAAGGATTCTCAGAAACAAGTTTGTGATGTGTGTACTCAGCTAACAGAGTGGAACCTTTCTTTTTACAGAGCAGCTTTGAAACTCTATTTTTGTGGATTCTGCAAATGGATATTTAGATTGCTTTAATGATATCGCTGGAAAAGGGAATATGGTCATACAAAATCTAGACAGATGCATTCTCACAAACTTCTTTGTGATGTGTGTCCTCAACTAACAGAGTTGAACCTTTCTTTTGATGCAGCAATTTGGAAACACCCTTTTGGTAGAAACTGTAACTGGATATTTGGATAGCTCTAACGATTTCGTTGGAAACGGGAATATCATCATCTAAAATCTAGACAGAAGCACTATTAGAAACTACTTGGTGATATCTGCATTCAAGTCAAAGAGTTGAACATTCCCTTACTTTGAGCACGTTTGAAACACTCTTTTGGAAGAATCTGGAAGTGGACATTTGGAGCGCTTTGATGCCTTTGGTGAAAAGGAAACGCCTTCCAATAAAAGCCAGACAGAAGCATTCTCAGAAACTTGTTTGTGATGTGTGTACTCAACTAAAAGAGTTGAACCTTTCTATTGATAGAGCAGTTTTGAAACACTCTTTTTGTGGATTCTGCAAGTGGATATTTGGATTGCTTTGAGGATTTCGTTGGAAGCGGGAATTCGTATAAAAACTAGACAGCAGCATTCCCAGAAATTTCTTTCGGATATTTCCATTCACCTCATAGAGATGAACATGGCCTTTCATAGAGCAGGTTTGAAACACTCTTTTTGTAGTTTGTGGAAGTGGACATTTCGATCGCCTTGACGCCTACGGTGAAAAAGGAAATATCTTCCCATAAAAAATAGACAGAAGCATTCTCAGAAACTTGTTGGTGATATGTGTCCTCAACTAACAGAGTTGAACTTTGCCATTGATAGAGAGCAGTTTTGAAACACTCTTTTTGTGGAATCTGCAAGTGGATATTTGGATAGCTTGGAGGATTTCGTTGGAAGCGGGAATTCAAATAAAAGGTAGACAGCAGCATTCTCAGAAATTTCTTTCTGATGTCTGCATTCAACTCATAGAGTTGAAGATTCCCTTTCATAGAGCAGGTTTGAAGCACTCTTTCTGGAGTATCTGGATGTGGACATTTGGAGCGCTTTGATGCCTACGGTGAAAAAGTAAATATCTTCCCATAAAAACGAGACAGAAGGATTCTGAGAAACAAGTTTGTGATGTGTGTACTCAGCTAACAGAGTGGAACCTCTCTTTTGATGCAGCAGTTTGGAAACACTCTTTTTGTAGAAACTGTAAGTGGATATTTGGATAGCTCTAATGATTTCGTTGGAAACGGGAATATCATCATCTAAAATCTAGACAGAAGCCCTCTCAGAAACTACTTTGTGATATCTGCATTCAAGTCACAGAGTTGAACATTCGCTTTCTTAGAGCACGTTTGAAACACCCTTTTTGTAGTGTCTGGAAGTGGACATTTGGAGCGCTTTGATGCCTTTGGTGAAAAAGGGAATGTCTTCCCATAAAAACTAGACAGAAGCATTCTCAGAAACTTGTTTGTGATGTGTGTACCCAGCCAAAGGAGTTGAACATTTCTATTGATAGAGCAGTTTTGAAACACTCTTTTTGTGGAAAATGCAGGTGGATATTTGGATAGCTTGGAGGATTTCGTTGGAAGCTGGAATTCAAATAAAAGGTAGACAGCAGCATTCTCAGAAATTTCTTTCTGATGTCTGCATTCAACTCATAGAGTTGAAGATTCCCTTTCATAGAGCAGGTTTGAAACACTCTTTCTGGAGTATCTGGATGTGGACATTTGGAGCGCTTTGATGCCTACGGTGAGAAAGTAAATATCTTCCCATAAAAACGAGACAGAAGGATTCTGAGAAACAAGTTTGTGATGTGTGTACTCAGCTAACAGAGTGGAACCTTTCTTTTTACAGAGCAGCTTTGAAACTCTATTTTTGTGGATTCTGCAAATGGATATTTAGATTGCTTTAATGATATCGCTGGAAAAGGGAATATGGTCATACAAAATCTAGACAGAAGCATTCTCACAAACTTCTTTGTGATGTGTGTCCTCAACTAACAGAGTTGAACCTTTCTTTTGATGCAGCAGTTTGGAAACACTGTTTTTGTAGCAACTGTAAGTGGATATTTGGATAGCTCTAACGATTTCGTTGGAAACGGGAATATCATCATCTAAAATCTAGACAGAAGCACTATTAGAAACTACTTGGTGATATCTGCATTCAAGTCACAGAGTTGAACATTCCCTTACTTTGAGCACGTTTGAAACACTCTTTTGGAAGAATCTGGAAGTGGACATTTGGAGCACTTTGATGCCTTTGGTGAAAAGGAAACGTCTTCCAATAAAAGCCAGACAGAAGCATTCTCAGAAACTTGTTCGTGATGTGTGTACTCAACTAAAAGAGTTGAACCTTTCTATTGATAGAGCAGTTTTGAAACACTCTTTTTGTGGATTCTGCAAGTGGATATTTGGATTGCTTTGAGGATTTCGTTGGAAGCGGGAATTCGTATAAACACTAGACAGCAGCATTCCCAGAAATTTCTTTCGGATATTTCCATTCAACTCATAGAGATGAACATGGCCTTTCATAGAGCAGGTTTGAAACACTCTTTTTGTAGTTTGTGGAAGTGGACATTTCGATCGCCTTGACGCCTACGGTGAAAAAGGAAATATCTTCCCATAAAAAGTAGACAGAAGCATTCTCAGAAACTTGTTGGTGATATGTGTCCTCAACTAACAGAGTTGAACTTTGCCATTGATAGAGAGCAGTTTTGAAACACTCTTTTTGTGGAATCTGCAAGTGGATATTTGGATAGCTTGGAGGATTTCGTTGGAAGCGGGAATTCAAATAAAAGGTAGACAGCAGCATTCTCAGAAATTTCTTTCTGATGTCTGCATTCAACTCGTAGAGTTGAACATTCCCTTTCATAGAGCAGGTTTGAAACACTCTTTCTGGAGTATCTGGATGTGGACATTTGGAGCGCTTTGATGCCTACGGTGAAAAAGTAAATAACTTCCCATAAAAACGAGACAGAAGGATTCTGAGAAACAAGTTTGTGATGTGTGTACTCAGCTAACAGAGTGGAACCTCTCTTTTGATGCAGCAGTTTGGAAACACTCTTTTTGTAGAAACTGTAAGTGGATATTTGGATAGCTCTAATGATTTCGTTGGAAACGGGAATATCATCATCTAAAATCTAGACAGAAGCCCTCTCAGAAACTACTTTGTGATATCTGCATTCAAGTCACAGAGTTGAACATTCGCTTTCTTAGAGTACGTTGGAAACACTCTTTTTGTAGTGTCTGGAAGTGGACATTTGGAGCGCTTTGATGCCTTTGGTGAAAAAGGGAACGTCTTCCCATAAAAACTAGACTGAAGCATTCTCAGAAACTTGTTTGTGATGTGTGTACCCAGCCAAAGGAGTTGAACATTTCTATTGATAGAGCAGTTTTGAAGCGCTCTTTTTGTGGAAAATGCAGGTGGATATTTGGATAGCTTGGAGGATTTCGTTGGAAGCGGGAGTTCAAATAAAAGGTAGACAGCAGCATTCTCAGAAATTTCTTTCTGATGTCTGCATTCAACTCATAGAGTTGAATATTCCCTTTCATAGAGCAGGTTTGAAACACTCTTTCTGGAGTATCTGGATGTGGACATTTGGAGCGCTTTGATGCCTACGGTGGAAAAGTAAATATCTTCCCATAAAAACGAGACAGAAGGATTCTGAGAAACAAGTTTGTGATGTGTGTACTCAGCTAACAGAGTGGAACCTTTCTTTTTACACAGCAGCTTTGAAACTCTATTTTTGTGGATTCTGCAAATGGATATTTAGATTGCTTTAATGATATCGCTGGAAAAGGGAATATGGTCATACAAAATCTAGACAGAAGCATTCTCACAAACTTCTTTGTGATGTGTGTCCTCAACTAACAGAGTTGAACCTTTCTTTTGATGCAGCAGTTTGGAAACACTCTTTTTGTAGAAACTGTAAGTGGATATTTGGATAGCTCTAACGATTTCGTTGGAAACGGGAATATCATCATCTAAAATCTAGACAGAAGCACTATTAGAGACTACTTGGTGATATCTGCATTCAAGTCACAGAGTTGAACATTCCCTTACTTTGAGCACGTTTGAAACACTCTTTTGGAAGAATCTGGAAGTGGACATTTGGAGCGCTATGATGCCTTTGGTGAAAAGGAAACGTCTTCCAATAAAAGCCAGACAGAAGCATTCTCAGAAACTTGTTTGTGATGTGTGTACTCAACTAAAAGAGTTGAACCTTTCTATTGATAGAGCAGTTTTGAAACACTCTTTTTGTGGATTCTGCAAGTGGATATTTGGATTGCTTTGAGGATTTTGTTGGAAGCGGGAATTCGTATAAAAACTAGACAGCAGCATTCCCAGAAATTTCTTTCGGATATTTCCATTCAACTCATAGAGATGAACATGGCCTTTCATAGAGAAGGTTTGAAACACTCT
This sequence comes from Homo sapiens, assembly GCF_000001405.40. NCBI lineage: Eukaryota > Metazoa > Chordata > Mammalia > Primates > Hominidae > Homo > Homo sapiens. The sequence continues at coordinate 18,117,006 of NC_000014.9, forward strand.
TTTTGTAGTTTGTGGAAGTGGACATTTCGATCGCCTTGACGCATACGGTGAAAAAGGAAATATCTTCCCATAAAAAATAGACAGAAGCATTCTCAGAAACTTGTTGGTGATATGTGTCCTCAACTAACAGAGTTGAACTTTGCCATTGATAGAGAGCAGTTTTGAAACACTCTTTTTCCTGAATCTGCAAGTGGATATTTGTATAGCTTGGAGGATTTCGTTGGAAGCGGGAATTCAAATAAAAGGTAGACAGCAGCATTCTCAGAAATTTCTTTCTGATGTCTGCATTCAACTCATAGAGTTGAACATTCCCTTTCATAGGACAGGTTTGAAATACTCTTTCTGTAGTATCTGGATGTGGACATGTGGAGCGCTTTGATGCCTACAGTGAAAAAGTAAATATCTTCCCATAAAAACGAGACAGAAGGATTCTGAGAAACAAGTTTGTGATGTGTGTACTCAGCTAACAGAGTGGAACCTCTCTTTTGATGCAGCAGTTTGGAAACACTCTTTTTGTAGAAACTGTAAGTGGATATTTGGATAGCTCTAATGATTTCGTTGGAAACGGGAATATCATCATCTAAAATCTAGACAGAAGCCCTCTCAGAAACTACTTTGTGATATCTGCATTCAAGTCACAGAGTTGAACATTTGCTTTCTTAGAGCACGTTGGAAACACTCTTTTTGTAGTGTCTGGAAGTGGACATTTGGAGCGCTTTGATGCCTTTGGTGAAAAAGGGAATGTCTTCCCATAAAAACTAGACAGAAGCATTCTCAGAAACTTGTTTGTGATGTGTGTACCTAGCTAAAGGAGTTGAACATTTCTATTGATAGAGCAGTTTTGAAACACTCTTTTTGTGGAAAATGCAGGTGGATATTTGGATAGGTTGGAAGATTTCGTTGGAAGCGGGAATTCAAATAAATGGTAGACAGCAGCATTCTCAGAAATTTCTTTCTGATGTCTGCATTCAACTCATAGAGTTGAAGATTCCCTTTCATAGAGCAGGTTTGAAACATTCTTTCTGGAGTATCTGGATGTGGACATTTGGAGCGCTTTGATGCCTACGGTGAAAAAGTAAATATCTTCCCATAAAAACGAGACAGAAGGATTCTCAGAAACAAGTTTGTGATGTGTGTACTCAGCTAACAGAGTGGAACCTTTCTTTTCACAGAGCAGCTTTGAAACTCTATTTTTGTGGATTCTGCAAATGGATATTTAGATTGCTTTAACGATATCATTGGAAAAGGGAATATCGTCATACAAAATCTGGACAGAAGCATTCTCACAAACTTCTTTGTGACGTGTGTCCTCAACTAACAGAGTTGAACCTTTCTTTTGATGCAGCAGTTTGGAAACACTGTTTTTGTAGCAACTGTAAGTGGATATTTGGATAGCTCTAACGATTTCGTTGGAAACGGGAATATCATCATCTAAAATCTAGACAGAAGCACTATTAGAAACTACTTGGTGATATCTGCATTCAAGTCACAGAGTTGAACATTCCCTTACTTTGAGCACGTTTGAAACACTCTTCTGGAAGAATCTGGAAGTGGACATTTGGAGCGCTTTGATGCCTTTGGTGAAAAGGAAACGTCTTCCAATAAAAGCCAGACAGAAGCATTCTCAGAAACTTGTTCGTGATGTGTGTACTCAACTAAAAGAGTTGAACCTTTCTATTGATAGAGCAGTTTTGAAACACTCTTTTTGTGGATTCTGCAAGTGGATATTTGGATTGCTTTGAGGATTTCGTTGGAAGCGGGAATTCGTATAAACACTAGACAGCAGCATTCCCAGAAATTTCTTTCGGATATTTCCATTCAACTCATAGAGATGAACATGGCCTTTCATAGAGCAGGTTTGAAACACTCTTTTTGTAGTTTGTGGAAGTGGACATTTCGATCGCCTTGACGCCTACGGTGAAAAAGGAAATATCTTCCCTTAAAAAATAGACAGAAACATTCTCAGAAACTTGTTGATGATATGTGTCCTCAACTAACAGAGTTGAACTTTGCCATTGATAGAGAGCAGTTTTGAAACACTCTTTTTGTGGAATCTGCAAGTGGATATTTGGATAGCTTGGAGGATTTCGTTGGAAGCGGGAATTCAAATAAAAGGTAGACAGCAGGATTCTTGAGAAACAAGTTTGTGATGTGTGTACTCAGCTAACAGAGTGGAACCTCTCTTTTGATGCAGCAGTTTGGAAACACTCTTTTTGTAGAAACTGTAAGTGGATATTTGGATAGCTCTAATGATTTCGTTGGAAACGGGAATATCATCATCTAAAATCTAGACAGAAGCCCTCTCAAAAACTACTTTGTGATATCTGCATTCAAGTCACAGAGTTGAACATTCGCTTTCTTAGAGCACGTTTGAAACACTCTTTTTGTAGTGTCTGGAAGTGGACATTTGGAGCGCTTTGATGCCTTTGGTGAAAAAGGGAATATCTTCCCATAAAAACTAGACAGAAGCATTCTCAGAAACTTGTTTGTGATGTGTGTACCCAGCTAAAGGAGTTGAACATTTCTATTGATACAGCAGTTTTGAAACACTCTTTTTGTGGAAAATGCAAGTGGATATTTGGATAGCTTGGAGGATTTCGTTGGAAGCGGGAATTCAAATAAAAGGTAGACAGCAGCATTCTCAGAAATTTCTTTCTGATGTCTGCATTCAACTCATAGAGTTGAAGATTCCCTTTCATAGAGCAGGTTTGAAACACTTTCTGGAGTATCTGGATGTGGACATTTGGAGCGCTTTGATGCCTACGGTGAAAAAGTAAATATCTTCCCATAAAAACGAGACAGAAGGATTCTCAGAAACAAGTTTGTGATGTGTGTACTCAGCTAACAGAGTGGAACCTTTCTTTTTACAGAGCAGCTTTGAAACTCTATTTTTGTGGATTCTGCAAATGGATATTTAGATTGCTTTAACGATATCGCTGGAAAAGGGAATATGGTCATACAAAATCTAGACAGAAGCATTCTCACAAACTTCTTTGTGATGTGTGTCCTCAACTAACAGAGTTGAACCTTTCTTTTGATGCAGCAGTTTGGAAACACTCTTTTTGTAGAAACTGTAAGTGGATATTTGGATAGCTCTAACGATTTCGTTGGAAACGGGAATATCGTCATCTAAAATCTAGACAGAAGCACTATTAGAAACTACTTGGTGATATCTGCATTCAAGTCAAAGAGTTGAACATTCCCTTACTTTGAGCACGTTTGAAACACTCTTTTGGAAGAATCTGGAAGTGGACATTTGGAGCGCTTTGATGCCTTTGGTGAAAAGGAAACGTCTTCCAATAAAAGCCAGACAGAAGCATTCTCAGAAACTTGTTTGTGATGTGTGTACTCAACTAAAAGAGTTGAACCTTTCTATTGATAGAGCAGTTTTGAAACACTCTTTTTGTGGATTCTGCAAGTGGATATTTGGATTGCTTTGAGGATTTCGTTGGAAGCGTGAATTCGTATAAAAACTAGACAGCAGCATTCCCAGAAATTTCTTTCGGATATTTCCATTCAACTCATAGAGATGAACATGGCCTTTCATAGAGCAGGTTTGAAACACTCTTTTTGTAGTTTGTGGAAGTGGACATTTCGATCGCCTTGACGCCTACGGTGAAAAAGGAAATATCTTCCCATAAAAAATAGACAGAAGCATTCTCAGAAACTTGTTGGTGATATGTGTCCTCAACTAACAGAGTTGAACTTTGCCATTGATAGAGAGCAGTTTTGAAACACTCTTTTTGTGGAATCTGCAAGTGGATATTTGGATAGCTTGGAGGATTTCGTTGGAAGCGGGAATTCAAATAAAAGGTAGACAGCAGCATTCTCAGAAATTTCTTTCTGATGTCTGCATTCAACTCATAGAGTTGAACATTCCCTTTCGTAGAGCAGGTTTGAAACACTCTTTCTGGAGTATCTGGATGTGGACATTTGGAGCGCTTTGATGCCTACGGTGAAAAAGTAAATATCTTCCCATAAAAACGAGACAGAAGGATTCTCAGAAACAAGTTTGTGATGTGTGTACTCAGCTAACAGAGTGGAACCTCTCTTTTGACGCAGCAGTTTGGAAACACTCTTTTTGTAGAAACTGTAAGTGGATATTTGGATAGCTCTAATGATTTCGTTGGAAACGGGAATATCATCATCTAAAATCTAGACAGAAGCGCTCTCAGAAACTACTTTGCGATATCTGCATTCAAGTCACAGAGTTGAACATTCGCTTTCTTACAGCACTTTTGAAACACACTTTTTGTAGTATCTGGAAGTGGACATTTGGAGCTCTTTGATGCCTTTGGCGAAAAAGGAAATGTCTTCCCATAAAAACTAGACAGAAGCATTCTCAGAAACTTGTTTGTGATGTGTGTACCCAGCTAAAGGAGTTGAACATTTCCATTGATAGAGCAGTTTTGAAACACTCTTTTTGTGGAAAATGCAAGTGGATATTTGGATAGCTTGGAGGATTTCGTTGGAAGCGGGAATTCAAATAAAAGGTAGACAGCAGGATTCTGAGAAACAAGTTTGTGATGTGTGTACTCAGCTAACAGAGTGGAACCTTTCTTTTTACAGAGCAGCTTTGAAACTCTATTTTTGTGGATTCTGCAAATTGATATTTAGATTGCTTTAACGATATCGTTGGAAAAGGGAATATCGTCATACAAAATCCTAGACAGAGAGCATTCTCACAAACTTCTTTGTGATGTGTGTCCTCAACTAACAGAGTTGAACCTTTCTTTTGATGCAGCAGTTTGGAAACACTGTTTTTGTAGCAACTGTAAGTGGATATTTGGATAGCTCTAACGATTTCGTTGGAAACGGGAATATCATCATCTAAAATCTAGACAGAGCACTATTAGAAACTACTTGGTGATATCAGCATTCAAGTCACAGAGTTGAACACTCCCTTACTTCGACCACGTTTGAAACACTCTTTTGGAAGAATCTGGAAGTGGACATTTGGAGCGCTTTGATGCCTTTGGTGAAAAGGAAACGTCTTCCAATAAAAGCCAGACAGAAGCATTCTCAGAAACTTGTTCGTGATGTGTGTACTCAACTAAAAGAGTTGAACCTTTCTATTGATAGCACAGTTTTGAAACACTCTTTTTGTGGATTCTGCAAGTGGATATTTGGATTGCTTTGAGGATTTCGTTGGAAGCGGGAATTCATATAAAAACTAGACAGCAGCATTCCCAGAAATTTCTTTCGGATATTTCCATTCAACTCATAGAGATGAACATGGCCTTTCATAGAGCAGGTTTGAAACACTCTTTTTGTAGTTTGTGGAAGTGGACATTTCGATCGCCTTGACGCCTACGGTGAAAAAGGAAATATCTTCCCATAAAAAATAGACAAAAGCATTCTCAGAAACTTGTTTGTGATGTGTGTACCTAGCTAAAGGAGTTGAACATTTCTATTGATAGAGCAGTGTTGAAACACTCTTTTTGTGGAAAATGCAAGTGGATATTTGGATAGCTTGGAGGATTTCGTTGGAAGCGGGAATTCAAATAAAAGGTAGACAGCAGGATTCTCAGAAACAAGTTTGTGATGTGTGTACTCAGCTAACAGAGTGGAACCTCTGTTTTGATGCAGCAGTTTGGAAACACTCTTTTTGTAGAAACTGTAAGTGGATATTTGGATAGCTATCATGATTTCGTTGGAAACGGGAATATCATCATCTAAAATCTAGACAGAAGCCCTCTCAGAAACTACTTTGTGATATCTGCATTCAACTCACAGAGTTGAACATTCGGTTTCTTAGAGCACGTTTGAAACACTCTTTTCGTAGTGTCTGGAAGTGGACATTTGGAGCGCTTTGATGCCTTTGGTGAAAAAGGGAATGTCTTCCCATAAAAACTAGACAGAAGCGTTCTCAGAAACTTGTTTGTGATGTGTGTACCCAGCTAAAGGAGTTGAACGTTTCTATTGATAGAGCAGTTTTGAAACACTCTTTTTGTGGAAAATGCAAGTGGATGTTTGGATAGCTAGGAGGATTTCGTTGGAAGCGGGAATTCAAATAAAAGGTAGACAGCAGCATTCTCAGAAATTTCTTTCTGATGTCTGCATTCAACTCATAGAGTTGAAGATTCCCTTTCATAGAGCAGGTTTGAAACACTCTTTCTGGAGTATCTGGATGTGGACATTTGGAGCGCTTTGATGCCTACGGTGGAAAAGTAAATATTTTCCCATAAAAACGAGACAGAAGGATTCTCAGAAACAAGTTTGTGATGTGTGTACTCAGCTAACAGAGTGGAACCTTTATTTTTACAGAGCAGCTTTGAAACTCTATTTTTGTGGATTCTGCAAATTGATATTTAGATTGCTTTAACGATATCGTTGGAAAAGGGAATATCGTCATACAAAATACTAGACAGAAGCATTCTCACAAACTTCTTTGTGATGTGTGTCCTCAACTAACAGAGTTGAACCTTTCTTTTGATGCAGCAATTTGGAAACACCCTTTTGGTAGAAACTGTAAGTGGATATTTGGATAGCTCTAACGATTTCGTTGGAAACGGGAATATCATCATCTAAAATCTAGACAGAAGCACTATTAGAAACTACTTGGTGATATCTGCATTCAAGTCACAGAGTAGAACATTCCCTTACTTCGAGCACGTTTGAAACACTCTTTTGGAAGAATCTGGAAGTGGACATTTGGAGCGCTTTGATGCCTTTGGTGAAAAGGAAACGTCTTCCAATAAAAGCCAGACAGAAGCCTTCTCAGAAACTTGTTCGTGATGTGTGTACTCAACTAAAAGAGTTGAACCTTTCTATTGATAGAGCAGTTTTGAAACACTCTTTTTGTGGATTCTGCAAGTGGATATTTCGATTGCTTTGAGGATTTCGTTGGAAGCGGGAATTCGTATAAACACTAGACAGCAGCATTCCCAGAAATTTCTTTCGGATATTTCCATTCAACTCATAGAGATGAACATGGCCTTTCATAGAGCAGGTTTGAAACACTCTTTTTGTAGTTTGTGGAAGTGGACATTTCGATCGCCTTGACGCCTACGCTGAAAAAGGAAATATCTTCCCATAAAAAATAGACAGAAGCATTCTCAGAAACTTGTTGGTGATATGTGTCCTCAACTAACAGAGTTGAACTTTGCCATTGATAGAGAGCAGTTTTGAAACACTCTTTTTGTGGAATCTGCAAGTGGATATTTGGATAGCTTGGAGGATTTCGTTGGAAGCGGGAATTCAAATAAAAGGTAGACAGCAGCATTCTCAGAAATTTCTTTCTGATGTCTGCATTCAACTCATAGAGTTGAACATTCCCTTTCATAGAGCAGGTTTGAAACACTCTTTCTGGAGTATCTGGATGTGGACATTTGGAGCGCTTTGATGCCTACGGTGAAAAAGTATAATCTTCCCATAAAAACGAGACAGAAGCATTCTCACAAACTTCTTTGTGATGTGTGTCCTCAACTAACAGAGTTGAACCTTTCTTTTGAAGCAGCAGTTTGGAAACACTCTTTTTGTAGAAACTGTAAGTGGATGTTTGGATAGCTCTAATGATTTCGTTGGAAACGGGAATATCATCATCTAAAATCTAGACAGAAGCCCTCTCAGAAACTACTTTGTGATATCTGCATTCAAGTCACAGAGTTGAACATTCGCTTTCTTAGAGCACGTTGGAAACACTCTTTTTGTAGTGTCTGGAAGTGGACATTTGGAGCGCTTTGATGCCTTTGGTGAAAAAGGGAATGTCTTCCCATAAAAACTAGACAGAAGCATTCTCAGAAACTTGTTTGTGATGTGTGTACCCAGCTAAAGGAGTTGAACATTTCTATTGATAGAGCAGTTTTGAAACACTCTTTTTGTGGAAAATGCAGGTGGATATTTGGATAGCTTGGAGGATTTCGTTGGAAGCGGGAATTCAAATAAAAGGTAGACAGCAGCATTCTCAGAAATTTCTTTCTGATGTCTGCATTCAACTCATAGAGTTGAAGATTCCCTTTCATAGAGCAGGTTTGAAACACTCGTTCTGGAGTATCTGGATGTGGACATTTGGAGCGCTTTGATGCCTACGGTGGAAAAGTAAATATCTTCCCATAAAAACGAGACAGAAGGATTCTGAGAAACAAGTTTGTGATGTGTGTACTCAGCTAACAGAGTGGAACCTTTCTTTTTACAGAGCAGCTTTGAAACTCTATTTTTGTGGATTCTGCAAATTGATATTTAGATTGCTTTAACGATATCGTTGGAAAAGGGAATATCGTCATACAAAATCTAGACAGAAGCATTCTCACAAACTTCTTTGTGACGTGTGTCCTCAACTAACAGAGTTGAACCTTTCTTTTGATGCAGCAGTTTGGAAACACTGTTTTTGTAGCAACTGTAAGTGGATATTTGGATAGCTCTAACGATTTCGTTGGAAACGGGAATATCATCATCTAAAATCTAGACAGAAGCAAGTATTAGAAACTACTTGGTGATATCTGCATTCAAGTCACAGAGTTGAACATTCCCTTACTTTGAGCACGTTTCAAACACTCTTTTGGAAGAATCTGGAAGTGGACATTTGGAGCGCTTTGATGATGCCTTTGGTGAAAAGGAAACGTCTTCTAATAAAAGCCAGACAGAAGCATTCTCAGTAAACTTGTTTGTGATGTGTGTACTCAACTAAAAGAGTTGAACCTTTCTATTGATAGAGCAGTTTTGAAACACTCTTTTTGTGGATTCTGCAAGTGGATATTTGGATTGCTTTGAGGATTTCGTTGGAAGCGGGAATTCATATAAAAACTAGACAGCAGCATTCCCAGAAATTTCTTTCGGATATTTCCATTCAACTCATAGAGATGAACATCGCCTTTCATAGAGCAGGTTTGAAACACTCTTTTTGTAGTTTGTGGAAGTGGACATTTCGATCGCCGTGACGCCTACAGTGAAAAAGGAAATATCTTCCCATAAACAATAGACAGAAGCATTCTCAGAAACTTGTTGGTGATATGTGTCCTCAACTAACAGAGTTGAACTTTGCCATTGATAGAGAGCAGTTTTGAAACACTCTTTTTGTGGAATCTGCAAGTGGATATTTGGATAGCTTGGAGGATTTCGTTGGAAGCAGGAATTCAAATAAAAGGTAGACAGCAGCATTCTCAGAAATTTCTTTCTGATGTCTGCATTCAACTCATAGAGTTGAAGATTCCCTTTCATAGAGCAGGTTTGAAACACTCTTTCTGGAGTATCTGGATGTGGACATTTGGAGCGCTTGGATGCCTACGGTGAAAAAGTAAATATCTTCCCATAAAAACGAGACAGAAGGATTCTGAGAAACAAGTTTGTGATGTGTGTACTCAGCTAACAGAGTGGAACCTCTCTTTTGATGCAGCAGTTTGGAAACACTCTTTTTGTAGAAACTGTAAGTGGATATTTGGATAGCTCTAATGATTTCGTTGGAAACGGGAATATCATCATCTAAAATCTAGACAGAAGCCTTCTGAGAAACTACTTTGTGATATCTGCATTCAAGTCACAGAGTTGAACATTCGCTTTCTTAGAGCACGTTGGAAACACTCTTTTTGTAGTGTCTGGAAGTGGACATTTGGAGCGCTTTGATGCCTTTGGTGAAAAAGGGAATGTCTTCCCATAAAAACTAGACAGAAGCATTCTCAGAAACTTGTTTGTGATGTGTGTACCCAGCCAAAGGAGTTGAACATTTCTATTGATAGAGCAGTTTTGAAACACTCTTTTTGTGGAAAATGCAAGTGGATATTTGGATAGCTTGGAGGATTTCGTTGGAAGCGGGAATTCAAATAAAAGGTAGACAGCAGCATTCTCAGAAATTTCTTTCTGATGTCTGCATTCAACTCATAAAGTTGAAGATTCCCTTTCATAGAGCAGGTTTGAAACACTCTTTCTGGAGTATCTGGATGTGGACATTTGGAGCGCTTTGATGCCTACGGTGAAAAAGTAAATATCTTCCCATAAAAACGAGACAGACAAGGATTCTGAGAGACAAGTTTGTGATGTGTGTACTCAGCTAACAGAGTGGAACCTTTCTTTTTACAGAGCAGCTTTGAAACTCTATTTTTGTGGATTCTGCAAATGGATATTTAGATTGCTTTAACGATATCGTTGGAAAAGGGAATATCGTCATACAAAATCTGGACAGAAGCATTCTCACAAACTTCTTTGTGATGTGTGTCCTCAACTAACAGAGTTGAACCTTTCTTTTGATGCAGCAGTTTGGAAACACTCTTTTTGTAGAAACTGTAAGTGGATATTTGGATAGCTCTAACGATTTCGTTGGAAACGGGAATATCATCATCTAAAATCTAGACAGAAGCACTATTAGAAACTACTTGGTGATATCTGCGTTCAAGTCACAGAGTTGAACATTCCCTTACTTTGAGCACGTTTGAAACACTCTTTTGGAAGAATCTGGAAGTGGACATTTGGAGCGCTTTGATGCCTTTGGTGAAAAGGAAACGTCTTCCAATAAAAGCCAGACAGAAGCATTCTCAGAAACTTGTTCATGATGTGTGTACTCAACTAAAAGATTTGAACCTTTCTATTGATAGAGCAGTTTTGAAACACTCTTTTTGTGGATTCTGCAAGTGGATATTTGGATTGCTTTGAGGATTTCGTTGGAAGCGGTAATTCGTATAAAAACTAGACAGCAGCATTCCCAGAAATTTCTTTCGGATATTTCCATTCAACTCATAGAGATGAACATGGCCTTTCATAGAGCAGGTTTGAAACACTCTTTTTGTAGTTTGTGGAAGTGGACATTTCGATCGCCTTGACGCCTACGGTGAAAAAGGAAATATCTTCCCATAAAAAATAGACAGAAGCATTCTCAGAAACTTGTTGGTGATATGTGTCCTCAACTAACAGAGTTGAACTTTGCCATTGATAGAGAGCAGTTTTGAAACACTCTTTTTGTGGAATCTGCAAGTGTATATTTGGATAGCATGGAGGATTTCGTTGGAAGCGGGAATTCAAATAAAAGGTAGACAGCAACATTCTCAGAAATTTCTTTCTGATGTCTGCATTCAACTCATAGAGTTGAAGATTCCCTTTCATAGAGCAGGTTTGAAACACTCTTTCTGGAGTATCTGGATGTGGACATTTGGAGCGCTTTGATGCCTACGGTGAAAAAGTAAATATCTTCCCATAAAAACGAGACAGAAGGATTCTGAGAAACAAGTTTGTGATGTGTGTACTCAGCTAACAGAGTGGAACCTCTGTTTTGATGCAGCAGTTTGGAAACACTCTTTTTGTAGAAACTGTAAGTGGATATTTGAATAGCTCTAATGATTTCGTTGGAAACGGGAATATCATCATCTAAAATCTAGACAGAAAGCCCTCTCAGCAAACTACTTTGTGATATCTGCATTCAAGTCACAGAGTTGAACATTCGCTTTCTTAGAGCACGTTTGAAACACTCTTTTTGTAGTGTCTGGAAGTGGACATTTGGAGCGCTTTGATGCCTTTGGTGAAAAAGGGAACGTCTTCCCATAAAAACTAGACAGAAGCATTCTCAGAAACTTGTTTGTGATGTGTGTACCCAGCTAAAGGAGTTGAACATTTCTATTGATAGAGCAGTTTTGAAACACTCTTTTTGTGGAAAATGCAAGTGGATATTTGGATAGCTTGGAGGATTTCGTTGGAAGCGGGAATTCAAATAAAAGGTAGACAGCAGCATTCTCAGAAATTTCTTTCTGATGTCTGCATTCAACTCATAGAGTTGAAGATTCCCTTTCATAGAGCAGGTTTGAAACACTCGTTCTGGAGCATCTGGATGTGGACATTTGGAGCGCTTTGATGCCTACGGTGGAAAAGTAAATATCTTCCCATAAAAACGAGACAGAAGGATTCTCAGAATCAAGTTTGTGATGTGTGTACTCAGCTAACAGAGTGGAACCTTTCTTTTTACAGAGCAGCTTTGAAACTCTATTTTTGTGGATTCTGCAAATTGATATTTAGATTGCTTTAACGATATCGTTGGAAAAGGGAATATCGTCATACAAAATCTAGACAGAAGCATTCTCACAAACTTCTTTGTGGTGTGTGTCCTCAACTAACAGAGTTGAACCTTTCTTTTGATGCAGCAATTTGGAAACACCCTTTTTGTAGAAACTGTAACTGGATATTTGCTTAGCTCTAACGATTTCGTTGGAAACGGGAATATCATCATCTAAAATCTAGACAGAAGCACTATTAGAAACTACTTGGTGATATCTGCATTCAAGTCACAGAGTTGAACATTCCCTTACTTTGAGCACGTTTGAAACACTCTTTTGGAAGAATCTGGAAGTGGACATTTGTAGCGCTTTGATGATGCCTTTGGTGAAAAGAAAACGTCTTCCAATAAAAGCCAGACAGAAGCATTCTCAGAAACTTGTTCGTGATGTGTGTACTCAACTAAAAGAGATGAACCTTTCTATTGATAGAGCAGTTTTGAAACACTCTTTTTGTGGATTCTGCAAGTGGATATTTGGATTGCTTTGAGGATTTCGTTGGAAGCGGGAATTCGTATAAACACTAGACAGCAGCATTCCCAGAAATTTCTTTCGGATATTTCCATTCAACTCATAGAGATGAACATGGCCTTTCATAGAGCAGGTTTGAAACACTCTTTTTGTAGTTTGTGGAAGTGGACATTTCGATCGCCTTGACGCCTACGGTGAAAAAGGAAATATCTTCCCATAAAAAATAGACAGAAGCATTCTCAGAAACTTGTTGGTGATATGTGTCCTCAACTAACAGAGTTGAACTTTGCCATTGATAGAGAGCAGTTTTGAAACACTCTTTTTGTGGAATCTGCAAGTGGATATTTGGATAGCTTGGAGGATTTCGTTGGAAGCGGGAATTCAAATAAAAGGTAGACAGCAGCATTCTCAGAAATTTCTTTCTGATGTCTGCATTCAACTCATAGAGTTGAACATTCCCTTTCATAGAGCAGGTTTGAAACACTCTTTCTGGAGTATCTGGATGTGGACATTTGGAGCGCTTTGATGCCTACGATGAAAAAGTAAATATCTTCCCATAAAAACGAGACAGAAGGATTCTGAGAAACAAGTTTGTGATGTGTGTACTCAGCTAACAGAGTGGAACCTCTCTTTTGATGCAGCAGTTTGGAAACACTCTTTTTGTAGAAACTGTAAGTGGATATTTGGATAGCTCTAATGATTTCGTTGGAAACGGGAATATCATCATCTAAAATCTAGACAGAAGCCCTCTCAGAAACTACTTTGTGATATCTGCATTCAAGTCACAGCAGTTGAACATTCGCTTTCTTAGAGCACGTTGGAAACACTCTTTTTGTAGTGTCTGGAAGTGGACATTTGGAGCGCTTTGATGCCTTTGGTGAAAAAGGGAATGTCTTCCCATAAAAACTAGACAGAAGCATTCTCAGAAACTTGTTTGTGATGTGTGTACCCAGCCAAAGGAGTTGAACATTTCTATTGATAGAGCAGTTTTGAAACACTCTTTTTGTGGAAAATGCAGGTGGATATTTGGATAGCTTGGAGGATTTCGTTGGAAGCGGGAATTCAAATAAAAGTTAGACAGCAGCATTCTCAGAAATTTCTTTCTTATGTCTGCATTCAACTCATAGAGTTGAAGATTCCCTTTCATAGAGCAGGTTTGAAACACTCGTTCTGGAGTATCTGGATGTGGACATTTGGAGCGCTTTGATGTCTACGGTGGAAAAGTAAATATCTTCCCATAAAAACGAGACAGACAAGGATTCTCAGAAACAAGTTTGTGATGTGTGTACTCAGCTAACAGAGTGGAACCTTTCTTTTTACAGAGCAGCTTTGAAACTCTATTTTTGTGGATTCTGCAAATTGATATTTAGATTGCTTTAACGATATCGTTGGAAAAGGGAATATCGTCATACAAAATCTAGACAGAAGCATTCTCACAAACTTCTTTGTGGTGTGTGTCCTCAACTAACCGAGTTGAACCTTTCTTTTGATGCAGCAATTTGGAAACACCCTTTTTGTAGAAACTGTAACTGGATATTTGCTTAGCTCTAACGATTTCGTTGGAAACGGGAATATCATCATCTAAAATCTAGACAGATAAGCACTATTAGAAACTACTTGGTGATATCTGCATTCAAGTCACAGAGTAGAACATTCCCTTACTTCGAGCACGTTTGAAACACTCCTTTGGAAGAATCTGGAAGTGGACATTTGGAGCGCTTTGATGCCTTTGGTGAAAAGGAAACGTCTTCCAATAAAAGCCAGACAGAAGCATTCTCAGAAACTTGTTGGTGATGTGTGTACTCAACTAAAAGAGTTGAACCTTTCTATTGATAGAGCAGTTTTGAAACACTCTTTTTGTGGATTCTGCAAGTGGATATTTGGATTGCTTTGAGGATTTCGTTGGAAGCGGGAATTCATATAAAAACTAGACAGCAGCATTCCCAGAAATTTCTTTCGGATATTTCCATTCAACTCATAGAGATGAACATGGCCTTTCATAGAGCAGGTTTGAAACACTCTTTTTGTAGTTTGTGGAAGTGGACATTTCGATCGCCTTGACGCCTACGCTGAAAAAGGAATTATCTTCCCATAAAAAATAGACAGAAGCATTCTCAGAAACTTGTTGGTGATATGTGTCCTCAACTAACAGAGTTGAACTTTGCCATTGATAGAGAGCAGTTTTGAAACACTCTTGTTGTGGAAAATGCAGGTGGATATTTGGATAGCTTGGAGGATTTCGTTGGAAGCGGGAATTCAAATAAAAGGTAGACAGCAGCATTCTCAGAAATTTCTTTCTGATGTCTGCATTCAACTCATAGAGTTGAACATTCCCTTTCATAGAGCAGGTTTGAAACACTCTTTCTGGAGTATCTGGATGTGGACATTTGGAGCGCTTTGATGCCTACGGTGAAAAAGTAAATATCTTCCCATAAAAACGAGACAGAAGGATTCTGAGAAACTAGTTTGTGATGTGTGTACTCAGCTAACAGAGTGGAACCTCTGTTTTGATGCAGCAGTTTGGAAACACTCTTTTTGTAGAAACTGTAAGTGGATATTTGGATAGCTCTAATGATTTCGTTGGAAACGGGAATATCATCATCTAAAATCTAGACAGAAGCCCTCT
The DNA here is from genome assembly GCF_000001405.40 of Homo sapiens. Taxonomy (NCBI): domain Eukaryota; kingdom Metazoa; phylum Chordata; class Mammalia; order Primates; family Hominidae; genus Homo; species Homo sapiens. The sequence continues at coordinate 18,132,072 of NC_000014.9, forward strand.
CAGAAACTACTTTGTGATATCTGCATGCAAGTCACAGAGTTGAACATTCGCTTTCTTAGAGCACGTTGGAAACACTCTTTTTGTAGTGTCTGGAAGTGGACATTTGGAGCGCTTTGATGCCTTTGGTGAAAAAGGGAATGGTCTTCCCATAAAAACTAGACAGAAGCATTCTCAGAAACTTGTTTGTGATGTGTGTACCCAGCTAAAGGAGTTGAACATTTCTATTGATAGAGCAGTTTTGAAACACTCTTTTTGTGGAAAATGCAAGTGGATATTTGGATAGCTTGGAGGATTTCGTTGGAAGCGGGAATTCAAATAAAAGGTAGACAGGAGCATTCTCAGAAATTTCTTTGTGATGTCTGCATTCAACTCATAGAGTTGAAGATTCCCTTTCATAGAGCAGGTTTGAAACACTCTTTCTGGAGTATCTGGATGTGGACATTTGGAGCGCTTTGATGCCTACGGTGGAAAAGTAAATATCTTCCCATAAAAACGAGACAGAAGGATTCTGAGAGACAAGTATGTGATGTGTGTACTCAGCTAACAGAGTGGAACCTTTCTTTTTACAGAGCAGCTTTGAAACTCTATTTTTGTGGATTCTGCAAATGGATATTTAGATTGCTTTAATGATATCGTTGGAAAAGGGAATATCGTCATACAAAATCTGGACAGAAGCATTCTCACAAACTTCTTTGTGATGTGTGTCCTCAACTAACAGAGTTGAACCTTTCTTTTGATGCAGCAGTTTGGAAACACTCTTTTTGTAGAAACTGTAAGTGGATAATTGGATAGCTGTAACGATTTCGTTGGAAACGGGAATATCGTCATCTAAAATTTAGACAGAAGCACTATTAGAAACTACTTGGTGATATCTGCATTCAAGTCACAGAGTTGAACATTCCCTTACTTTGAGCACGTTTGAAACACTCTTTTGGAAGAATCTGGAAGTGGACATTTGGAGCGCTTTGATGCCTTTGGTGAAAAGGAAACGTCTTCCAATAAAAGCCAGACAGAAGCATTCTCAGAAACTTGTTTGTGATGTGTGTACTCAACTAAAAGAGTTGAACCTTTCTATTGATAGAGCAGTTTTGAAACACTCTTTTTGTGGATTCTGCAAGTGGATATTTGGATTGCTTTGAGGATTTCGTTGGAAGCGGGAATTCGTATAAAAACTAGACAGCAGCATTCCCAGAAATTTCTTTCGGATATTTCCATTCGACTCATAGAGATGAACATGGCCTTTCATAGAGCAGGTTTGAAACACTCTTTTTGTAGTTTGTGGAAGTGGACATTTCGATCGCCTTGACGCCTACGGTGAAAAAGGAAATATCTTCCCATAAAAAATAGACAGAAGCATTCTCAGAAACTTGTTGGTGATATGTGTCCTCAACTAACAGAGTTGAACTTTGCCATTGATAGAGAGCAGTTTTGAAACACTCTTTTTGTGGAATCTGCAAGTGGATATTTGGATAGCTTGGAGGATTTCGTTGGAAGCGGGAATTCAAATAAAAGGTAGACAGCAGCATTCTCAGAAATTTCTTTCTGATGTCTGCATTCAACTCATAGAGTTGAAGATTCCGTTTCATAGAGCAGGTTTGAAACACTCTTTCTGGAGTATCTGGATGTGGACATTTGGAGCGCTTTGATGCCTACGGTGAAAAAGTAAATATCTTCCCATAAAAACGAGACAGAAGGATTCTGAGAAACAAGTTTGTGCTGTGTGTACTCAGCTAACAGAGTGGAACCTCTCTTTTGATGCAGCAGTTTGGAAACACTCTTTTTGTAGAAACTGTAAGTGGATATTTGGATAGCTCTAATGATTTCGTTGGAAACGGGAATATCATCATCTAAAATCTAGACAGAAGCCCTCTCAGAAAACTACTCTGTGATATCTGCATTCAAGTCACAGAGTTGAACATTCGTTTTCTTAGAGCACGTTTGAAACACTCTTTTTGTAGTGTCTGGAAGTGGACATTTGGAGCGCTTTGATGCCTTTGGTGAAAAAGGGAATGTCTTCCCATAAAAACTAGACAGAAGCATGCTCAGAAACTTGTTTGTGATGTGTGTACCCAGCCAAAGGAGTTGAACATTTCTATTGATAGAGCAGTTTTGAAACACTCTTTTTGTGGAAAATGCAGGTGGATATTTGGATAGCTTGGAGGATTTCGTTGGAAGCGGGAATTCAAATAAAAGGTAGACAGCAGGATTCTGAGAAACAAGTTTGTGATGTGTGTACTCAGCTAACAGAGTGGAACCTTTCTTTTTACAGAGCAGCTTTGAAACTCTATTTTTGTGGATTCTGCAAATTGATATTTAGATTGCTTTAACGATATCGTTGGAAAAGGGAATATCGTCATACAAAATCTAGACAGAAGCATTCTCACAAACTTCTTTGTGATGTGTGTCCTCAACTAACAGAGTTGAACCTTTCTTTTGATGCAGCAATTTGGAAACACCCTTTTGGTAGAAACTAACTGGATATTTGGATAGCTCTAACGATTTCGTTGGAAACGGGAATATCATCATCAAAATGTAGACAGAAGCACTATTAGAAACTACTTGGTGATATCTGCATTCAAGTCACAGCAGTTGAACATTCCCTTACTTTGAGCACGTTTCAAACACTCTTTTGGAAGAATCTGGAAGTGGACATTTGGAGCGCTTTGATGCCTTTGGTGAAAAGGAAACGTCTTCCAATAAAAGCCAGACAGAAGCATTCTCAGAAACTTGTTTGTGATGTGTGTACTCAACTAAAAGAGTTGAACCTTTCTATTGATAGAGCAGTTTTGAAACACTCTTTTTGTGGATTCTGCAAGTGGATATTTGGATTGCTTTGAGGATTTCGTTGGAAGCGGGAATTCGTATAAAAACTAGACAGCAGCATTCCCAGAAATTTCTTTCGGATATTTCCATTCGACTCATAGAGATGAACATGGCCTTTCATAGAGCAGGTTTGAAACACTCTTTTTGTAGTTTGTGGAAGTGGACATTTCGATTGCCTTGACGCCTACGGTGAAAAAGGATATATCTTCCCATAAAAAATAGACAGAAGCATTCTCAGAAACTTGTTGGTGATATGTGTCCTCAACTAACAGAGTTGAACTTTGCCATTGATAGAGAGCAGTTTTGAAACACTATTTTTGTGGAATCTGCAAGTGGATATTTGGATAGCTTGGAGGATTTCGTTGGAAGCGGGAATTCAAATAAAAGGTAGACAGCAGGACTCTGAGAAACAAGTTTGTGATGTGTGTACTCAGCTAACAGAGTGGAACCTCTCTTTTGATGCAGCAGTTTGGAAACACTCTTTTTGTAGAAACTGTAAGTGGATATTTGGATAGCTCTAATGATTTCGTTGGAAACGGGAATATCATCATCTAAAATCTAGACAGAAGCACTCTCAGAAACCACTTTGTGATATCTGCATTCAAGTCACAGAGTTGAACATTCGCTTTCTTAGAGCACGTTTGAAACACTCTTTTTGTAGTGTCTGGAAGTGGACATTTGGAGCGCTTTGATGCCTTTGGTGAAAAAGGGAACGTCTTCCCATAAAAACTAGACAGAAGCATTCTCAGAAACTTGTTTGTGATGTGTGTACCCAGCCAAAGGAGTTGAACATTTCTATTGATAGAGCAGTTTTGAAACACTCTTGTTGTGGAAAATGCAGGTGGATATTTGGATAGCTTGGAGGATTTCGTTGGAAGCGGGAATTCAAATAAAAGGTAGACAGCAGCATTCTCAGAAATTTCTTTCTGATGTCTGCATTCAACTCATAGAGTTGAACATTCCCTTTCATAGAGCAGGTTTGAAACACTCTTTCTGGAGTATCTGGATGTGGACATTTGGAGCGCTTTGATGCCTACGGTGGAAAAGTAAATATCTTCCCATAAAAACGAGACAGAAGGATTCTCAGAAACAAGTTTGTAATGTGTGTACTCAGCTAACAGAGTGGAACCTTTCTTTTTACAGAGCAGCTTTGAAACTCTATTGTTGTGGATTCTGCAAATTGATATTTAGATTGCTTTAACGATATCGTTGGAAAAGGGAATACCGTCATACAAAATCTAGACAGAAGCATTCTCACAAACTTCTTTGTGATGTGTGTCCTCAACTAACAGAGTTGAACCTTTCTTTTGATGCAGCAATTTGGAAACACCCTTTTGGTAGAAACTGTAACTGGATATTTGGATAGCTCTAACGATTTCGTTGGAAACGGGAATATCATCATCTAAAATCTAGACAGAAGCACTATTAGAAACTACTTGGTGATATCTGCATTCAAGTCACAGAGTTGAACATTCCCTTACTTTGAGCACGTTTGAAACACTCTTTTGGAAGAATCTGGAAGTGGACATTTGGAGCGCTTTGATGCCTTTGGTGAAAAGGAAACGTCTTCCAATAAAAGCCCGACAGAAGCATTCTCAGAAACTTGTTTGTGATGTGTGTACTCAACTAAAAGAGTTGAACCTTTCTATTGATAGAGCAGTTTTGAAACACTCTTTTTGTGGATTCTGCAAGTGGATATTTGGATTGCTTTGAGGATTTCGTTGGAAGCGGGAATTCGTATAAAAACTAGACAGCAGCATTACCAGAAATTTCTTTCGGATATTTCCATTCAACTCATAGAGAAGAACATGACCTTTCATAGAGCAGGTTTGAAACACTCTTTTTGTAGTTTGTGGAAGTGGACATTTCGATCACCTTGACGCCTACGGTGAAAAAGGAAATATCTTCCCATAAAAAATAGACAGAAGCATTCTCAGAAACTTGTTGGTGATATGTGTCCTCAACTAACAGAGTTGAACTTTGCCATTGATAGAGAGCAGTTTTGAAACACTCTTTTTGTGGAATCTGCAAGTGGATATTTGGATAGCTTGGAGGATTTCGTTGGAAGTGGGAATTCAAATAAAAGGTAGACAGCAGCATTCTCAGAAATTTCTTTCTGATGTCTGCATTCAACTCATAGAGTTGAAGATTCCCTTTCATAGAGCAGGTTTGAAACACTCTTTCTGGAGTATCTGGATGTGGACATTTGGAGCGCTTTGAGGCCTATGGTGAGAAAGTAAATATCTTCCCATAAAAACGAGACAGAAGGATTCTGAGAAACTAGTTTGTGATGTGTGTACTCAGCTAACAGAGTGGAACCTCTCTTTTGATGCAGCAGTTTGGAAACACTCTTTTTGTAGAAACTGTAAGTGGATATTTGGATAGCTCTAATGATTTCGTTGGAAACGGGAATATCATCATCTAAAATCTAGACAGAAGCCCTCTCAGAAACTACTTTGTGATATCTGCATTCAAGTCACAGAGTTGAACATTCGCTTTCTTAGAGCACGTTTGAAACACTCTTTTTGTAGTGTCTGGAAGTGGACATTTGGAGCGCTTTGATGCCTTTGGTGAAAAAGGGAATGTCTTCCCATAAAAACTAGACAGAAGCATTCTCAGAAACTTGTTTGTGATGTGTGTACCCAGCTAAAGGAGTTGAACATTTCTATTGATAGAGCAGTTTTGAAACACTCTTTTTGTGGAAAATGCAAGTGGATATTTGGATAGCTTGGAGGATTTCGTTGGAAGCGTGAATTCAAATAAAAGGTAGACAGCAGCATTCTCAGAAATTTCTTTCTGATGTCTGCATTCAACTCATAGAGTTGAACATTCCCTTTCATAGAGCAGGTTTGAAATACTCTTTCTGTAGTATCTGGATGTGGACATTTGGAGCGCTTTGATGCCTACGGTGAAAAAGTAAATATCTTCCCATAAAAACGAGACAGAAGGATTCTGAGAAACAAGTTTGTGATGTGTGTACTCAGCTAACAGAGTGGAACCTTTCTTTTCACAGAGCAGCTTTGAAACTCTATTTTTGTGGATTCTGCAAATGGATATTTAGATTGCTTTAACGATATCGTTGGAAAAGGGAATATCGTCATACAAAATCTAGACAGAAGCATTCTCACAAACTTTTTTGTGATGTGTGTCCTCAACTAACAGAGTTGAATCTTTCTTTTGATGCAGCAGTTTGGAAACACCCTTTTGGTAGAAACTGTAAGTGGATATTTGGATAGCTCTAACGATTTCGTTGGAAACGGGAATATCATCATCTAAAATCTAGACAGAAGCACTATTAGAAACTACTTGGTGATATCTGCATTCAAGTCACAGAGTTGAACATTCCCTTACTTTGAGCACGTTTGAAACACTCTTTTGGAAGAATCTGGAAGTGGACATTTGGAGCGCTTTGATGCCTTTGGTGAAAAGGAAACGTCTTCCAATAAAAGCCAGACAGAAGCATTCTCAGAAACTTGTTCGTGATGTGTGTACTCAACTAAAAGAGTTGAACCTTTCTATTGATAGAGCAGTTTAGAAACACTCTTTTTGTGGATTCTGCAAGTGGATATTTGGATTGCTTTGAGGATTTCGTTGGAAGCGGGAATTCGTATAAACACTAGACAGCAGCATTCCCAGAAATTTCTTTCGGATATTTCCATTCAACTCATAGAGATGAACATGGCCTTTCATAGAGCAGGTTTGAAACACTCTTTTTGTATTTTGTGGAAGTGGACATTTCGATCGCCTTGACGCCTACGGTGAAAAAGGAAATATCTTCCCATAAAAAATAGACAGAAGCATTCTCAGAAACTTGTTGGTGATATGTGTCCTGAACTAACAGAGTTGAACTTTGCCATTGATAGAGAGCAGTTTTGAAACACTCTTTTTGTGGAATCTGCAAGTGGATATTTGGATAGTTTGGAGGATTTCGTTGGAAGCGGGAATTCAAATAAAAGGTAGACAGCAGCATTCTCAGAAATTTCTTTCTGATGTCTGCATTCAACTCATAGAGTTGAAGATTCCCTTTCATAGAGCAGGTTTGAAACACTCTTTCTGGAGTATCTGGATGTGGACATTTGGAGCGCTTTGATGCCTACGGTGAGAAAGTAAATATCTTCCCATAAAAACGAGACAGAAGGATTCTGAGAAACTAGTTTGTGATGTGTGTACTCAGCTAACAGAGTGGAACCTCTCTTTTGATGCAGCAGTTTGGAAACACTCTTTTTGTAGAAACTGTAAGTGGATATTTGTATAGCTCTAATGATTTCGTTGGAAACGGGAATATCATCATCTAAAATCTAGACAGAAGCACTCTCAGAAACTACTTTGTGATATCTGCATTCAAGTCACAGAGTTGAACATTCGCTTTCTTAGAGCACGTTTGAAACACTCTTTTTGTAGTGTCTGGAAGTGGACATTTGGAGCGCTTTGATGGCTTTGGTGAAAAAGGGAACGTCTTCCCATAAAAACTAGACAGAAGCATTCTCAGAAACTTGTTTGTGATGTGTGTACCCAGCCAAAGGAGTTGAACATTTCTATTGATAGAGCAGTTTTGAAACACTCTTTTTGTGGAAAATGCAGGTGGATATTTGGATAGCTTGGAGGATTTCGTTGGAAGCGGGAATTCTAATAAAAGGTAGACAGCAGCATTCTCAGAAATTTCTTTCTGATGTCTGCATTCAACTCATAGAGTTGAAGATTCCCTTTCATAGAGCAGGTTTGAAACACTCTTTCTGGAGTATCTGGATGTGGACATTTGGAGCGCTTTGATGCCTACAGTGAAAAAGTAAATATCTTCCCATAAAAACGAGACAGAAGGATTCTCAGAAACAAGTTTGTGATGTGTGTACTCAGCTAACAGAGTGGAACCTTTCTTTTTACAGAGCAGCTTTGAAACTCTATTTTTGTGGATTCTGCAAATGGATATTTAGATTGCTTTAACGATATCGTTGGAAAAGGGAATATCGTCATACAAAATCTAGACAGAAGCATTCTCACAAACTTCTTTGTGATGTGTGTCCTCAACTAACAGAGTTGAACTTTTCTTTTGATGCAGCAATTTGGAAACACCCTTTTGGTAGAAACTGTAACTGGATATTTGGATAGCTCTAGCGATTTCGTTGGAAACGGGAATATCATCATCTAAAATGTAGACAGAAGCACTATTAGAAACTACTTGGTGATATCTGCATTCAAGTCACAGAGTTGAAATTCCCTTACTTTGAGCACGTTTGAATCACTCTTTTGGAAGAATCTGGAAGTGGACATTTGGAGCGCTTTGATGCCTTTGGTGAAAAGGAAACGTCTTCCAATAAAAGCCAGACAGAAGCATTCTCAGAAACTTGTTTGTGATGTGTGAACTCAACTAAAAGAGTTGAACCTTTCTATTGATAGAGCAGTTTTGAAACACTCTTTTTGTGGATTCTGCAAGTGGATATTTGGATTGCTTTGAGGATTTCGTTGGAAGCGGGAATTCGTATAAAAACTAGACAGCAGCATTCCCAGAAATTTCTTTCGGATATTTCCATTCAACTCATAGAGATGAACATGGCCTTTCATAGAGCAGGTTTGAAGCACTCCTTTTGTAGTTTGTGGAAGTGGACATTTCGATCGCCTTGACGCCTACGGTGAAAAAGGAAATATCTTCCCATAAAAAATAGACAGAAGCATTCTCAGACAAACCTTTGTTGGTGATATGTGTCCTCAACTAACAGAGTTGAACTTTGCCATTGATAGAGAGCAGTTTTGAAACACTCTTTTTGTGGAATCTGCAAGTGGATATTTGGATAGCTTGGAGGATTTCGTTGGAAGCGGGAATTCAAATAAAAGGTAGACAGCAGCATTCTCAGAAATTTCTTTCTGATGTCTGCATTCAACTCATAGAGTTGAAGATTCCCTTTCATAGAGCAGGTTTGAAACACTCGTTCTGGAGTATCTGGATGTGGACATTTGGAGCGCTTTGATGCCTACGGTGGAAAAGTAAATATCTTCCCATAAAAAACGAGACAGAAGGATTCTGAGAAACAAGTTTGTGATGTGTGTACTCAGCTAACAGAGTGGAACCTCTCTTTTGATGCAGCAGTTTGGAAACTCTCTTTTTGTAGAAACTGTAAGTGGATATTTGGATAGCTCTAATGATTTCGTTGGAAACGGGAATATCATCATCTAAAATCTAGACAGAAGCCCTCTCAGAAACTACTTTGTGATATCTGCATTCAACTCACAGAGTTGAACATTCGCTTTCTTAGAGCACGTTTGAAACACTCTTTTTGTAGTGTCTGGAAGTGGACATTTGGAGCGCTTTGATGCCTTTGGTGAAAAAGGGAATGTCTTCCCATAAAAACTAGACAGAAGCATTCTCAGAAACTTGTTTGTGATGTGTGTACCCAGCTAAAGGAGTTGAACATTTCTATTGATAGAGCAGTTTTGAAACACTCTTTTTGTGGAAAATGCAAGTGGATATTTGGATAGCTTGGAGGATTTCGTTGGAAGCGGGAATTCAAATAAAAGGTAGACAGCAGCATTCTCAGAAATTTCTTTCTGATGTCTGCATTCAACTCATAGAGTTGAACATTCCCTTTCATAGGACAGGTTTGAAATACTCTTTCTGTAGTATCTGGATGTGGACATGTGGAGCGCTTTGATGCCTACAGTGAAAAAGTAAATATCTTCCCATAAAAACGAGACAGAAGGATTCTCAGAAACAAGTTTGTGATGTGTGTACTCAGCTAACAGAGTGGAACCTTTCTTTTTACAGAGCAGCTTTGAAACTCTATTTTTGTGGATTCTGCAAATTGATATTTAGATTGCTTTAACGATATCGTTGGAAAAGGGAATATCGTCATACAAAATCTGGACAGAAGCATTCTCACAAACAGCTTTGTGACGTGTGTCCTCAACTAACAGAGTTGAACCTTTCTTTTGATGCAGCAGTTTGGAAACACCCTTTTGGTAGAAACTGTAAGTGGATATTTGGATAGCTCTAACGATTTCGTTGGAAACGGGAATATCATCATCTAAAATCTAGACAGAAGCACTATTAGAAACTACTTGGTGATATCTGCATTCAAGTCACAGAGTTGAACATTCCCTTACTTTGAGCACGTTTCAAACACTCTTTTGGAAGAATCTGGAAGTGGACATTTGGAGCGCTTTGATGCCTTTGGTGAAAAGGAAACGTCTTCCAATAAAAGCCAGACAGAAGCATTCTCAGAAACTTGTTGGTGATGTGTGTACTCAACTAAAAGAGTTGAACCTTTCTATTGATAGAGCAGTTTTGAAACACTCTTTTTGTGGATTCTGCAAGTGGATATTTGGATTGCTTTGAGGATTTCGTTGGAAGCGGGAATTCGTATAAACACTAGACAGCAGCATTCCCAGAAATTTCTTTCGGATATTTCCATTCAACTCATAGAGATGAACATGGCCTTTCATAGAGCAGGTTTCAAACACTCTTTTTGTAGTTTGTGGAAGTGGACATTTCGATCGCCTTGACGCCTACGGTGAAAAAGGAAATATCTTCCCATAAAAAATAGACAGAAGCATCCTCAGAAACTTGTTGCTGATATGTGTCCTCAACTAACAGAGTTGAACTTTGCCATTGATAGAGAGCAGTTTTGAAACACTCTTTTTGTGGAATCTGCAAGTGGATATTTGGATAGCTTGGAGGATTTCGTTGGAAGCGGGAATTCAAATAAAAGGTAGACAGCAGCATTCTCAGAAATTACTTTCTGATGTCTGCATTCAACTCATTGAGTTGAAGATTCCCTTTCATAGAGCAGGTTTGAAACACTCTTTCTGTAGTATCTGGATGTGGTCATTTGGAGCGCTTTGATACCTACGGTGAAAAAGTAAATATCTTCCCATGAAAACTAGACAGAAGGATTCTGAGAAACAAGTTTGTGATGTGTGTACTCAGCTAACAGAGTGGAACCTCTCTTTTGATGCAGCAGTTTGGAAACACTCTTTTTGTAGAAACTGTAAGTGGATATTTGGATAGCTCTAATGATTTCGTTGGAAACGGGAATATCATCATCTAAAATCTAGACAGAAGCCCTCTCAGAAACTACTTGGTGATATCTGCATTCAAGTCACAGAGTTGAACATTCGCTTTCTTAGAGCACGTTTGAAACACTCTTTTTGTAGTGTCTGGAAGTGGACATTTGGAGCGCTTTGATGCCTTTGGTGAAAAAGGGAATGTCTTCCCACAAAAACTAGACAGAAGCATTCTCAGAAACTTGTTTGTGATGTGTGCACCCAGCTAAAGGAGTTGAACATTTCTATTGATAGAGCAGTTTTGAAGCACTCTTTTTGTGGAAAATGCAAGTGGATATTTGGATAGCTTGGAGGATTTCGTTGGAAGCGGGAGTTCAAATAAAAGGTAGACAGCAGCATTCTCAGAAATTTCTTTCTGATGTCTGCATTCAACTCATAGAGTTGAAGATTCCCTTTCATAGAGCAGGTTTGAAACACTCTTTCTGGAGTATCTGGATGTGGACATTTGGAGCGCTTTGATGCCTACGGTGAAAAAGTAAATATCTTCCCATAAAAACGAGACAGAAGGATTCTCAGAAACAAGTTTGTGATGTGTGTACTCAGCTAACAGAGTGGAACCTTTCTTTTTTGCAGAGCAGCTTTGAAACTCTATTTTTGTGGATTCTGCAAATTGATATTTAGATTGCTTTAACGATATCGTTGGAAAAGGGAATATCGTCATACAAAATCTAGACAGAAGCATTCTCACAAACTTCTTTGTGACGTGTGTCCTCAACTAACAGAGTTGAACCTTTCTTTTGATGCAGCAATTTGGAAACACCCTTTTGGTAGAAACTGTAACTGGATATTTGGATAGCTCTAGCGATTTCGTTGGAAACGGGAATATCATCATCTAAAATCTAGACAGAAGCACTATTAGAAACTACTTGGTGATATCTGCATTCAAGTCACAGAGTTGAACATTCCCTTACTATGAGCACGTTTGAAACACTCTTTTGGTAGAATCTGGAAGTGGACATTTGGAGCACTTTGATGCCTTTGGTGAAAAGGAAACGTCTTCCAATAAAAGCCAGACAGAAGCATTCTCAGAAACTTGTTCGTGATGTGTGTACTCAACTAAAAGAGTTGAACCTTTCTATTGATAGAGCAGTTTTGAAACACTCTTTTTGTGGATTCTGCAAGTGGATATTTGGATTGCTTTGAGGATTTCGTTGGAAGCGGGAATTCGTATAAACACTAGACAGCAGCATTCCCAGAAATTTCTTTCGGATATTTCCATTCAACTCATAGAGATGAACATGGCCTTTCATAGAGCAGGTTTGAAACACTCTTTTTGTAGTTTGTGGAAGTGGACATTTCGGATCGCCTTGACGCCTACGCTGAAAAAGGAAATATCTTCCCATAAAAAATAGACAGAAAGCATTCTCAGAAACTTGTTGGTGATATGTGTCCTCAACTAACAGAGTTGAACTTTGCCATTGATAGAGAGCAGTTTTGAAACACTCTTTTTGTGGAATCTGCAAGTGGATATTTGGATAGCTTGGAGGATTTTGTTGGAAGCGGGAATTCAAATAAAAGGTAGACAGCAGCATTCTCAGAAATTTCTTTCTGATGTCTGCATTCAACTCATAGAGTTGAAGATTCCCTTTCATAGAGCAGGTTTGAAACACTCTTTCTGGAGTATCTGATTGTGGACATTTGGAGCGCTTTGATGCCTACGGTGAAAAAGTAAATATCTTCCCATAAAAACGAGACAGAAGGATTCTGAGAAACAAGTTTGTGATGTGTGTACTCAGCTAACAGAGTGGAACCTCTCTTTTGATGCAGCAGTTTGGAAACACTCTTTTTGTAGAAACTGTAAGTGGATATTTGGATAGCTCTAATGATTTCGTTGGAAACGGGAATATCATCATCTAAAATCTAGACAGAAGCCCTCTCAGAAACTACTTTGTGATATCTGCATTCAAGTCACAGAGTTGAACATTCGCTTTCTTAGAGCACGTTTGAAACACTCTTTTTGTAGTGTCTGGAAGTGGACATTTGGAGCGCTTTGATTCCTTTGGTGAAAAAGGGAATGTCTACCCATAAAAACTAGACAGAAGCATTCTCAGAAACTTGTTTGTGATGTGTGTACCCAGCCAAAGGAGTTGAACATTTCTATTGATAGAGCAGTTTTGAAACATTCTTTTTGTGGAAAATGCAAGTGGATATTTGGATAGCTTGGAGGATTTCGTTGGAAGCGGGAATTCAAATAAAAGGTAGACAGCAGCATTCTCAGAAATTTCTTTCTGATGTCTGCATTCAACTCATAGAGTTGAAGATTCCCTTTCATAGAGCAGGTTTGAAACACTGTTTCTGGAGTATCTGGATGTGGACATTTGGAGCGCTTTGATGCCTACGGTGAAAAAGTAAATGTCTTCCCATAAAAACGAGACAGAAAGGATTCTGAGAGACAAGTTTGTGATGTGTGTACTCAGCTAACAGAGTGGAACCTTTCTTTTTACAGAGCAGCTTTGAAACTCTATTTTTGTGGATTCTGCAAATGGATATTTAGATTGCTTTAACGATATCGTTGGAAAAGGGAATATCGTCATACAAAATCTGGACAGAAGCATTCTCACAAACTTCTTTGTGATGTGTGTCCTCAACTAACAGAGTTGAACCTTTCTTTTGATGCAGCAGTTTGGAAACACTCTTTTTGTAGAAACTGTAAGTGGATATTTGGATAGCTCTAACGATTTCGTTGGAAACGGGAATATCATCATCTAAAATCTAGACAGAAGCACTATTAGAAACTACTTGGTGATATCTGCATTCAAGTCACAGAGTTGAACATTCCCTTACTTTGAGCACGTTTCAAACACTCTTTTGGAAGAATCTGGAAGTGGACATTTGGAGCGCTTTGATGCCTTTGGTGAAAAGGAAACGTCTTCCAATAAAAGCCAGACAGAAGCATTCTCAGAAACTTGTTCGTGATGTGTGTACCTCAACTAAAAGAGTTGAACCTTTCTATTGATAGAGCAGTTTTGAAACACTCTTTTTGTGGATTCTGCAAGTGGATATTTGGATTGCTTTGAGGATTTCGTTGGAAGCGGGAATTCGTATAAACACTAGACAGCAGCATTCCCAGAAATTTCTTTCGGATATTTCCATTCAACTCATAGAGATGAACATGGCCTTTCATAGAGCAGGTTTGAAACACTCTTTTTGTAGTTTGTGGAAGTGGACATTTCGATCGCCTTGACGCCTACGGTGAAAAAGGAAATATCTTCCCATAAAAAATAGACAGAAGCATTCTCAGAAACTTGTTGGTGATATGTGTCCTCAACTAACAGAGTTGAACTTTGCCATTGATAGAGAGCAGTTTTGAAACACTCTTTTTGTGGAATGTGCAAGTGGATATTTGGATAGCTTGGAGGATTTCGTTGGAAGCGGGAATTCAAATTAAAGGTAGACAGCAGCATTCTCAGTAAATTTCTTTCTGATGTCTGCATTCAACTCATAGAGTTGAAGATTCCCTTTCATAGAGCAGGTTTGAAACACTCTTTCTGGAGTATCTGGATGTGGACATTTGGAGCGCTTTGATGCCTACGGTGAAAAAGTAAATATCTTCCCATAAAAACGAGACAGACGGATTCTCAGAAACAAGTTTGTGATGTGTGTACTCAGCTAACAGAGTGGAACCTCTCTTTTGATGCAGCAGTTTGGAAACACTCTTTTTGTAGAAACTGTAAGTGGATATTTGGATAGCTCTAATGATTTCGTTGGAAACGGGAATATCATCATCTAAAATCTAGACAGAAGCCCTCTCAGAAACTACTTTGTGATATCTGCATTCAAGTCACAGAGTTGAACATTCGCTTTCTTAGAGCACGTTTGAAACACTCTTTTTGTAGTGTCTGGAAGTGGACATTTGGAGCGCTTTGATGCCTTTGGTGAAAAAGGGAATGTCTTCCCATAAAAACTAGACAGAAGCATTCTCAGAAACTTGTTTGTGATGTGTGTACCCAGCCAAAGGAATTGAACATTTCTATTGATAGAGCAGTTTTGAAACACTCTTTTTGTGGAAAATGCAGGTGGATATTTGGATAGCTTGGAGGATTTCGTTGGAAGCGGGAATTCAAATAAAAGTTAGACAGCAGCATTCTCAGAAATTTCTTTCTGATGTCTGCATTCAACTCATAGAGTTGAAGATTCCCTTTCATAGAGCAGGTTTGAAACTGGATGTGGACATTTGGAGCGCTTTGATGCCTACGGTGAAAAAGTAAATATCTTCCCAGAAAAACGAGACAGAAGGATTCTGAGAAACAAGTTTGTGATGTGTGTACTCAGCTAACAGAGTGGAACCTTTCTTTTTACAGAGCAGCTTTGAAACTCTATTTTTGTGGATTCTGCAAATGGATATTTAGATTGCTTTAACGATATCGTTGGAAAAGGGAATATCGTCATACAAAATCTAGACAGAAGCATTCTCACAAACTTCCTTTGTGATGTGTGTCCTCAACTAACAGAGTTGAACCTTTCTTTTGATGCAGCAGTTTGGAAACACCCTTTTGGTAGAAACTGTAAGTGGATATTTGGATAGCTCTAACGATTTCGTTGGAAACGGGAATATCATCATCTAAAATCTAGACAGAAGCACTATTAGAAACTACTTGGTGATATCTGCATTCAAGTCACAGAATTGAACATTCCCTTATTTTGAGCACGTTTGAAACACTCTTTTGGAAGAATCTGGAAGTGGACATTTGGAGCGCTTTGATGCCTTTGGTGAAAAGGAAACGTCTTCCAATAAAAGCCAGACAGAAGCATTCTCAGAAACTTGTTCGTGATGTGTGTACTCAACTAAAAGATTTGAACCTTTCTATTGATAGAGCAGTTTTGAAACACTCTTTTTGTGGATTCTGCAAGTGGATATTTGGATTGCTTTGAGGATTTCGTTGGAAGCGGGAATTCGTATAAAAACTAGACAGCAGCATTCCCAGAAATTTCTTTCGGATATTTCCATTCAACTTATAGAGATGAACATCGCCTTTCATAGAGCAGGTTTGAAACACTCTTTTTGTAGTTTGTGGAAGTGGACATTTCGATCGCCTTGATGCCTACGGTGAAAAAGGAAATATCTTCCCATAAAAAATAGACAGAAGCATTCTCAGAAACTTGTTGGTGATATGTGTCCTCAACTAACAGAGTTGAACTTTGCCATTGATAGAGAGCAGTTTTGAAACACTCTTTTTGTGGAATCTGCAAGTGGATATTTGGATAGCTTGGAGGATTTCGTTGGAAGCGGGAATTCAAATAAAAGGTAGACAGCAGGATTCTCAGAAACAAGTTTGTGATGTGTGTACTCAGCTAACAGAGTGGAACCTTTCTTTTTACAGAGCAGCTTTGAAACTCTATTTTTGTGGATTCTGCAAATGGATATTTAGATTGCTTTAACGATATCGTTGGAAAAGGGAGTATCGTCATACAAAATCTGGACAGAAGCCCTCTCAGAAACTACTTTGTGATATCTGCATTCAACTCACAGAGTTGAACATTCGCTTTCTTAGAGCACGTTTGAAACACTCTTTTTGTAGTGTCTGGAAGTGGACATTTGGAGCGCTTTGATGCCTTTGGTGAAAAAGGGAACGTCTTCCCATAAAAACTAGACAGAAGCATTCTCAGAAACTTGTTTGTGATGTGTGTACCCAGCCAAAGGAGTTGAACATTTCTATTGATAGAGCAGTTTTGAAACACTCTTTTTGTTGAAAATGCAGGTGGATATTTGGATAGCTTGGAGGATTTCGTTGGAAGCGGGAACTCAAATAAAAGGTAGACAGCAGGATTCTCAGAAACAAGTTTGTGATGTGTGTACTCAGCTAACAGCAGTGGAACCTTTCTTTTTACAGAGCAGCTTTGAAACTCTATTTTTGTGGATTCTGCAAATTGATATTTAGATTGCTTTAACGATATCGTTGGAAAAGGGAATATCGTCATACAAAATCTAGACAGAAGCATTATCACAAACT
Source organism: Homo sapiens (assembly GCF_000001405.40). Taxonomy (NCBI): domain Eukaryota; kingdom Metazoa; phylum Chordata; class Mammalia; order Primates; family Hominidae; genus Homo; species Homo sapiens. Next base: position 18,148,901 of record NC_000014.9, read on the forward strand.
TCTTTGTGATGTGTGTCCTCAACTAACAGAGTTGAACCTTTCTTTTGATGCAGCAGTTTGGAAACACTCTTTTTGTAGAAACTGTAAGTGGATATTTGGATAGCTCTAACGATTTCGTTGGAAACGGGAATATCATCATCTAAAATCTAGACAGAAGCACTATTAGAAACTACTTGGTGATATCTGCATTCAAGTCACAGAGTTGAACATTCCCTTACTTTGAGCACGTTTCAAACACTCTTTTGGAAGAATCTGGAAGTGGACATTTGGAGCGCTTTGATGCCTTTGGTGAAAAGGAAACGTCTTCCAATAAAAGCCAGACAGAAGCATTCTCAGAAACTTGTTCGTGATGTGTGTACTCAACTAAAAGAGTTGAACCTTTCTATTGATAGAGCAGTTTTGAAACACTCTTTTTGTGGATTCTGCAAGTGGATATTTGGATTGCTTTGAGGATTTCGTTGGAAGTGGGAATTCGTATAAACACTAGACAGCAGCATTCCCAGAAATTTCTTTCGGATATTTCCATTCAACTCATAGAGATGAACATCGCCTTTCATAGAGCAGGTTTGAAACACTCTTTTTGTAGTTTGTGGAAGTGGACATTTCGATCGCCTTGACGCCTACGGTGAAAAAGGAAATATCTTCTCATAAAAAATAGACAGAAGCATTCTCAGAAACTTGTTGGTGATATGTGTCCTCAACTAACAGAGTTGAACTTTGCCATTGATAGAGAGCAGTTTTGAAACACTCTTTTTGTGGAATCTGCAAGTGGATATTTGGATAGCTTGGAGGATTTCGTTGGAAGCGGGAATTCAAATAAAAGGTAGACAGCAGCATTCTCAGAAATTTCTTTCTGATGTCTGCATTCAACTCATAGAGTTGAAGATTCCCTTTCATAGAGCAGGTTTGAAACACTCTTTCTGTAGTATCTGGATGTGGACATTTGGAGCGCTTTGATGCCTACGGTGAAAAAGTATAATCTTCCCATAAAAACGAGACAGAAGGATTCTGAGAAACAAGTTTGTGATGTGTGTACTCAGCTAACAGAGTGGAACGTCTCTTTTGATGCAGCAGTTTGGAAACACTCTTTTTGTAGAAACTGTAAGTGGATATTTGGATAGCTCTAATGATTTCGTTGGAAACGGGAATATCATCATCTAAAATCTAGACAGAAGCCCTCTCAGAAACTACTTTGTGATATCTGCATTCAAGTCACAGAGTTGAACATTCGCTTTCTTAGAGCACGTTGGAAACACTCTTTTTGTAGTGTCTTGAAGTGGACATTTGGAGCGCTTTGATGCCTTTGGTGAAAAAGGGAACGTCTTCCCATAAAAACTAGACAGAAGCATTCTCAGAAACTTGTTTGTGATGTGTGTACCCAGCCAAAGGAGTTGAACATTTCTATTGATAGAGCAGTTTTGAAACACTCTTTTTGTGGAAAATGCAAGTGGATATTTGGATAGCTTGGAGGATTTCGTTGGAAGCGGGAATTCAAATAAAAGGTAGACAGCAAGCATTCTCAGAAATTTCCTTCTGATGTCTGCATTCAACTCATAGAGTTGAAGATTCCCTTTCATAGAGCAGGTTTGAAACACTCTTTCTGGAGTATCTGGATGTGGACATTTGGAGCGCTTTGATGCCTGCGGTGAAAAAGTAAATATCTTCCCATAAAAACGAGACAGAAGGATTCTCAGAAACAAGTTTGTGATGTGTGTACTCAGCTAACAGAGTGGAACCTTTCTTTTTACAGAGCAGCTTTGAAACTCTATTTTTGTGGATTCTGCAAATTGATATTTAGATTGCTTTAACGATATCGTTGGAAAAGGGAATATCGTCATACAAAATCTAGACAGAAGCATTCTCACAAACTTCTTTGTGATGTGTGTCCTCAACTAACAGAGTTGAACCTTTCTTTTGATGCAGCAATTTGGAAACACCCTTTTGGTAGAAACTGTAACTGGATATTTGGATAGCTCTAACGATTTCTTTGGAAACGGGAATATCATCATCTAAAATGAGACAGAATCACTATTAGAAACTACTTGGTGATATCTGCATTCAAGTCACAGAGTTGAACATTCCCTTACTTTGAGCACGTTTCAAACACTCTTTTGGAAGAATCTGGAAGTGGACATTTGGAGCGCTTTGATGCCTTTGGTGAAAAGGAAACGTCTTCCAATAAAAGCCAGACAGAAGCATTCTCAGAAACTTGTTTGTGATGTGTGTACTCAACTAAAAGAGTTGAACCTTTCTATTGATAGAGCAGTTTTGAAACACTCTTTTTGTGGATTCTGCAAGTGGATATTTGGATTGCTTTGAGGATTTCGTTGGAAGCGGGAATTCGTATAAAAACTAGACAGCAGCATTCCCAGAAATTTCTTTCGGATATATCCATTCAACTCATAGAGATGAACATGGCCTTTCATAGAGCAGGTTTGAAACACTCTTTTTGTAGTTTGTGAAAGTGGACATTTCGATCGCCTTGACGCCTACGGTGAAAAAGGGAATATCTTCCCTTAAAAAATAGACAGAAGCATTCTCAGAAACTTGTTGGTGATATGTGTCCTCAACTAACAGAGTTGAACTTTGCCATTGATAGAGAGCAGTTTTGAAACACTCTTTTTGTGGAATCTGCAAGTGGATATTTGGATAGCTTGGAGGATTTCGTTGGAAGCGGGAATTCAAATAAAAGGTAGACAGCAGCATTCTCAGAAATTTCTTTCTGATGTCTGCATTCAACTCATAGAGTTGAAGATTCCCTTTCATAGAGCAGGTTTGAAACACTCTTTCTGTAGTATCTGGATGTGGACATTTGGAGCGCTTTGATGCCTACGGTGAAAAAGTAAATATCTTCCCATAAAAACGAGACAGAAGGATTCTGAGAAACAAGTTTGTGATGTGTGTACTCAGCTAACAGAGTGGAACCTCTCTTTTGATGCAGCAGTTTGGAAACACTCTTTTTGTAGAAACTGTAAGTGGATATTTGGATAGCTCTAATGATTTCGTTGGAAACGGGAATATCATCATCTAAAATCTAGACAGAAGCACTCTCAGAAACTACTGTGTGATATCTGCATTCAAGTCACAGAGTTGAACATTCGCTTTCTTAGAGCACGTTTGAAACACTCTTTTTGTAGTGGCTGGAAGTGGACATTTGGAGCGCTTTGATTCCTTTGGTGAAAAAGGGAATGTCTACCCATAAAAACTAGACAGAAGCATTCTCAGAAACTTGTTTGTGATGTGTGTACCCAGCCAAAGGAGTTGAACATTTCTATTGATAGAGCAGTTTTGAAACGCTCTTTTTGTGGAAAATGCAGGTGGATATTTGGATAGCTTGGAGGATTTCGTTGGAAGCGGGAATTCAAATAAAAGGTAGACAGCAGGATTCTCAGAAACAAGTTTGTGATGTGTGTACTCAGCTAACAGAGTGGAACCTTTCTTTTTACAGAGCAGCTTTGAAACTCTATTTTTGTGGATTCTGCAAATTGATATTTAGATTGCTTTAACGATATCGTTGGAAAAGGGAATATCGTCATACAAAATCTAGACAGAAGCATTCTCACAAACTTCTTTGTGATGTGTGTCCTCAACTAACAGAGTTGAACCTTTCTTTTGATGCAGCAATTTGGAAACACCCTTTTGGTAGAAACTGTAACTGGATATTTGGATACCTCTAACGATTTCGTTGGAAACGGGAATATCATCATCTAAAATGTAGACAGAAGCACTATTAGAAACTACTTGGTGATATCTGCATTCAAGTCACAGAGTTGAACATTCCCTTACTTTGAGCACGTTTGAAACACTCTTTTGGAAGAATCTGGAAGTGGACATTTGGAGCGCTTTGATGCCTTTGGTGAAAAGGAAACGTCTTCCAATAAAAGCCAGACAGAAGCATTCTCAGAAACTTGTTCGTGATGTGTGTACTCATCTAAAAGAGTTGAACCTTTCTATTGATAGAGCAGTTTTGAAACACTCTTTTTGTGGATTCTGCAAGTGGATATTTGGATTGCTTTGAGGATTTCGTTGGAAGCGGGAATTCGTATAAACACTAGACAGCAGCATTCCCAGAAATTTCTTTCGGATATTTCCATTCAACTCATAGAGGTGAACATGGCCTTTCATAGAGCAGGTTTGAAACACTCTTTTTGTAGTTTGTGGAAGTGGACATTTCGATCGCCTTGACGCCTACGGTGAAAAAGGAAATATCTTCCCATAAAAAATAGACAGAAGCATTCTCAGAAACTTGTTGGTGATATGTGTCCTCAACTAACAGAGTTGAACTTTGCCATTGATAGAGAGCAGTTTTGAAACACTCTTTTTGTGGAATCTGCAAGTGGATATTTGGATAGCTTGGAGGATTTCGTTGGAAGCGGGAATTCAAATAAAAGGTAGACAGCCGGATTCTGAGAAACAAGTTTGTGATGTGTGTACTCAGCTAACAGAGTGGAACCTCTCTTTTGATGCAGCAGTTTGGAAACACTCTTTTTGTAGAAACTGTAAGTGGATATTTGGATAGCTCTAATGATTTCGTTGGAAACGGGAATATCATCATCTAAAATCTAGACAGAAGCCCTCTCAGAAACTACTTTGTGATATCTGCATTCAAGTCACAGAGTTGAACATTCGCTTTCTTAGAGCACGTTGGAAACACTCTTTTTGTAGTGTCTGGAAGTGGACATTTGGAGCGCTTTGATGACTTTGGTGAAAAAGGGAACGTCTTCCCATAAAAACTAGACAGAAGCATTCTCAGAAACTTGTTTGTGATGTGTGTACCCAGCCAAAGGAGTTGAACATTTCTATTGATAGAGCAGTTTTGAAACACTCTTGTTGTGGAAAATGCAGGTGGATATTTGGATAGCTTGGAGGATTTCGTTGGAAGCGGGAATTCAAATAAAAGGTAGACAGCAGCATTCTCAGAAATTTCTTTCTGATGTCTGCATTCAACTCATAGAGTTGAAGATTCCCTTTCATAGAGCAGGTTTGAAACACTCGTTCTGGAGTATCTGGATGTGGACATTTGGAGCGCTTTGATGCCTACGGTGGAAAAGTAAATATCTTCCCATAAAAACGAGACAGAAGGATTCTCAGAAACAAGTTTGTGATGTGTGTACTCAGCTAACAGAGTGGAACCTTTCTTTTTACAGAGCAGCTTTGAAACTCTATTTTTGTGGATTCTGGAAATTGATATTTAGATTGCTTTAACGATATCGTTGGAAAAGGGAATATCGTCATACAAAATGCTGGACAGAAGCATTCTCACAAACTTCTTTGTGATGTGTGTCCTCAACTAACAGAGTTAAACCTTTCTTTTGATGCAGCAATTTGGAAACACCCTTTTGGTAGAAACTGTAACTGGATATTTGGATAGCTCTAACGATTTCGTTGGAAACGGGAATATCATCATCTAAAATCTAGACAGAAGCACTATTAGAAACTACTTGGTGATATCTGCATTCAAGTCACAGAGTTGAACATTCCCTTACTTTGAGCACGTTTGAAACACTCTTTTGGAAGAATCTGGAAGTGGACATTTGGAGCGCTTTGATGCCTTTGGTGAAAAGGAAACGTCTTCCAATGAAAGCCAGACAGAAGCATTCTCAGAAACTTGTTCGTGATGTGTGTACTCAACTAAAAGAGTTGAACCTTTCTATTGATAGCGCAGTTTTGAAACACTCTTTTTGTGGATTCTGCAAGTGGATATTTGGATTGCTTTGAGGATTTCGTTGGAAGCGGGAATTCATATAAAAACTAGACAGCAGCATTCCCAGAAATTTCTTTCGGATATTTCCATTCAACTCATAGAGATGAACATGGCCTTTCATAGAGCAGGTTTGAAACACTCTTTTTGTAGTTTCTGGAAGTGGACATTTCGATCGCCTTGACGCCTACGCTGAAAAAGGAAATATCTTCCCATAAAAAATAGACAGAAGCATTCTCAGAAACTTGTTGGAGATATGTGTCCTCAACTGACAGAGTTGAACTTTGCCATTGATAGAGAGCAGTTTTGAAACACTCTTTCTGTGGAATCTGCAAGTGGATATTTGGATAGCTTGGAGGATTTCGTTGGAAACGGGAATTCAAATAAAAGATAGACAGCAGCATTCTCAGAAATTTCTTTCTGATGTCTGCATTCAACTCATAGAGTTGAAGATTCCCTTTCATAGAGCAGGTTTGAAATACTCTTTCTGTAGTATCTGGATGTGGACATTTGGAGCGCTTTGATGCCTACGGTGAAAAAGTAAATATCTTCCCATAAAAACGAGACAGAAGGATTCTGAGAAACAAGTTTGTGATGTGTGTACTCAGCTAACAGAGTGGAACCTCTCTTTTGATGCAGCAGTTTGGAAACACTCTTTTTGTAGAAACTGTAAGTGGATATTTGGATAGCTCTAATGATTTCTTTGGAAACGGGAATATCATCATCTAAAATCTAGACAGAAGCCCTCTCAGAAACTACTTTGTGATATCTGCATTCAAGTCACAGCAGTTGAACATTCGCTTTCTTAGAGCACGTTGGAAACACTCTTTTTGTAGTGTCTGGAAGTGGACATTTGGAGCGCTTTGATGCCTTTGGTGAAAAAGGGAATGTCTTCCCATAAAAACTAGACAGAAAGCATTCTCAGCAAACTTGTTTGTGATGTGTGTACCCAGCCAAAGGAGTTGAACATTTCTATTGATAGAGCAGTTTTGAAACACTCTTTTTGTGGAAAATGCAGGTGGATATTTGGATAGCTTGGAGGATTTCGTTGGAAGCGGGAATTCAAATAAAAGGTAGACAGCAGGATTCTCAGAAACAAGTTTGTGATGTGTGTACTCAGCTAACAGAGTGGAACCTTTCTTTTTACAGAGCAGCTTTGAAACTCTATTTTTGTGGATTCTGCAAATTGATATTTAGATTGCTTTAACGATATCGTTGGAAAAGGGAATATGGTCATACAAAATCTAGACAGAAGCATTCTCACAAACTTCTTTGTGATGTGTGTCCTCAAATAACACAGTTGAACCTTTCTTTTGATGCAGCAGTTTGGAAACACCCTTTTGGTAGAAACTGTAAGTGGATATTTGGATAGATCTAACGATTTCGTTGGAAACGGGAATATCATCATCTAAAATCTAGACAGAAGCACTATTAGAAACTACTTGGTGATATCTGCATTCAAGTCACAGAGTTGAACATTCCCTTACTTTGAGCACGTTTCAAACACTCTTTTGGAAGAATCTGGAAGTGGACATTTGGAGCGCTTTGATGCCTTTGGTGAAAAGGAAACGTCTTCCAATAAAAGCCAGACAGAAGCATTCTCAGAAACTTGTTCGTGATGTGTGTACTCAACTAAAAGAGTTGAACCTTTCTATTGATAGAGCAGTTTTGAAACACTCTTTTTGTGGATTCTGCAAGTGGATATTTGGATTGCTTTGAGGATTTCGTTGGAAGCAGGAATTCGTATAAACACTAGACAGCAGCATTCCCAGAAATTTCTTTCGGATATTTCCATTCAACTCATAGAGATGAACATGGCCTTTCATAGAGCAGGTTTGAAACACTCTTTTTGTAGTTTGTGGAAGTGGACATTTCGATCGCCTTGACGCCTACGCTGAAAAAGGAAATATCTTCCCATAAAAAATAGACAGAAGCATTCTCAGAAACTTGTTGGTGATATGTGTCCTCAACTAACAGAGTTGAACTTTGCCATTGATAGAGAGCAGTTTTGAAACACTCTTTTTGTGGAATCTGCAAGTGGATATTTGGATAGCTTGGAGGATTTCGTTGGAAGCGGGAATTCAAATAAAAGGTAGACAGCAGCATTCTCAGAAATTTCTTTCTGATGTCTGCATTCAACTCATAGAGTTGAAGATTCCCTTTCATAGCAGCAGGTTTGAAACACTCTTTCTGGAGTATCTGGATGTGGACATTTGGAGCGCTTTGATGCCTACGGTGAAAAAGTAAATATCTTCCCATAAAAACGACACAGAAGGATTCTCAGAAACAAGTTTGTGATGTGTGTACTCAGCTAACAGAGTGGAACCTCTCTTCTGATGCAGCAGTTTGGAAACACTCTTTTTGTAGAAACTGTAAGTGGATATTTGGATAGCTCTAATGATTTCGTTGGAAACGGGAATATCATCATCTAAAATCTAGACAGAAGCCCTCTCAGAAACTACTTTGTGATATCTGCATTCAAGTCACAGAGTTGAACATTCGCTTTCTTAGAGCACGTTTGAAACACTCTTTTTGTAGTGTCTGGAAGTGGACATTTGGCGCGCTTTGATGCCTTTGGTGAAAAAGGGAATGTCTTCCCATAAAAACTAGACAGAAGCATTCTCAGAAACTTGTTTGTGATGTGTGTACCCAGCCAAAGGAGTTGAACATTTCTATTGATAGAGCAGTTTTGAAACGCTCTTTTTGTGGAAAATGCAGGTGGATATTTGGATAGCTTGGAGGATTTCGTTGGAAGCGGGAGTTCAAATAAAAGGTAGACAGCAGCATTCTCAGAAATTTCTTTCTGATGTCTGCATTCAACTCATAGAGTTGAAGATTCCCTTTCATAGAGCAGGTTTGAAACACTCTTTCTGGAGTATCTGGATGTGGACATTTGGAGCGCTTTGATGCCTACGGTGAAAAAGTAAATATCTTCCCATAAAAACGAGACAGAAGGATTCTGAGAAACAAGTTTGTGATGTGTGTACTCAGCTAACAGAGTGGAACCTTTCTTTTTACAGAGCAGCTTTGAAACTCTATTTTTGTGGATTCTGCAAATTGATATTTAGATTGCTTTAACGATATCGTTGGACAAGGGAATATGGTCATACAAAATCTAGACAGAAGCATTCTCACAAACTTCTTTGTGATGTGTGTCCTCAACTAACAGAGTTGAACCTTTCTTTTGATGCAGCAATTTGGAAACACCCTTTTGGTAGAAACTGTAACTGGATATTTGGATAGCTCTAACGATTTCGTTGGAAACGGGAATATCATCATCAAAATGTAGACAGAAGCACTATTAGAAACTACTTGGTGATATCTGCATTCAAGTCACAGAGTTGAACATTCCCTTACTTTGAGCACGTTTGAAACACTCTTTTGGAAGAATCTGGAAGTGGACATTTGGAGTGCTTTGATGCCTTTGGTGAAAAGGAAACGTCTTCCAATAAAAGCCAGACAGAAGCATTCTCAGAAACTTGTTTGTGATGTGTGTACTCAACTAAAAGAGTTGAACCTTTCTATTGATAGAGCAGTTTTGAAACACTCTTTTTGTGGATTCTGCAAGTGGATATTTGGATTGCTTTGAGGATTTCGTTGGAAGCGGGAATTCGTATAAAAACTAGACAGCAGCATTCCCAGAAATTTCTTTCGGGTATTTCCATTCGACTCATAGAGATGAACATGGCCTTTCATAGAGCAGGTTTGAAACACTCTTTTTGTAGTTTGTGGAAGTGGACATTTCGATCGCCTTGACGCCTACGGTGAAAAAGGAAATATCTTCCCATAAAAAATAGACAGAAGCATTCTCAGAAACTTGTTGGTGATATGTGTCCTCAACTAACAGAGTTGAACTTTGCCATTGATAGAGAGCAGTTTTGAAACACTCTTTTTGTGGAATCTGCAAGTGGATATTTGGATAGCTTGGAGGATTTCGTTGGAAGCGGGAATTCAAATAAAAGGTAGACAGCAGCATTCTCAGAAATTTCTTTCTGATGTCTGCATTCAACTCATAGAGTTGAAGATTCCATTTCATAGAGCAGGTTTGAAACACTCTTTCTGGAGTATCTGGATGTGGACATTTGGAGCGCTTTGATGCCTACGGTGAAAAAGTAAATATCTTCCCATAAAAACGAGACAGAAGGATTCTGAGAAACAAGTTTGTGATGTGTGTACTCAGCTAACAGAGTGGAACCTCTCTTTTGATGCAGCAGTTTGGAAACACTCTTTTTGTAGAAACTGTAAGTGGATATTTGGATAGCTCTAATGATTTCGTTGGAAACGGGAATATCATCATCTAAAATCTAGACAGAAGCACTCTCAGAAACTACTTTGTGATATCTGCATTCAAGTCACAGAGTTGAACATTCGCTTTCTTAGAGCACGTTTGAAACACTCTTTTTGTAGTGTCTGGAAGTGGACATTTGGAGCGCTTTGATTCCTTTGGTGAAAAAGGGAATGTCCACCCATAAAAACTAGACAGAAGCATTCTCAGAAACTTGTTTGTGATGTGTGTACCCAGCCAAAGGAGTTGAACATTTCTATTGATAGAGCAGTTTTGAAACACTCTTTTTGTGGAAAATGCAGGTGGATATTTGGATAGCTTTGAGGATTTCGTTGGAAGCGGGAATTCAAATAAAAGGTAGACAGCAGCATTCTCAGAAATTTCTTTCTGATGTCTGCATTCAACTCATAGAGTTGAAGATTCCCTTTCATAGAGCAGGTTTGAAACACTCGTTCTGGAGTATCTGGATGTGGACATTTGGAGCGCTTTGATGCCTACGGTGGAAAAGTAAATATCTTCCCATAAAAACGAGACAGAAGGATTCTCAGAAACAAGTTTGTGATGTGTGTACTCAGCTAACAGAGTGGAACCTTTCTTTTTACAGAGCAGCTTTGAAACTCTATTTTTGTGGATTCTGCAAATTGATATTTAGATTGCTTTAACGATATCGTTGGAAAAGGGAATATCGTCATACAAAATGTAGACAGAAGCATTCTCACAAACTTCTTTGTGATGTGTGTCCTCAACTAACAGAGTTGAACCTTTCTTTTGATGCAGCAATTTGGAAACACCCTTTTGGTAGAAACTGTAACTGGATATTTGGATAGCTCTAGCGATTTCGTTGGAAACGGGAATATCATCATCTAAAATGTAGACAGAAGCACTATTAGAAACTACTTGGTGATATCTGCATTCAAGTCACAGAGTAGAACATTCCCTTACTTCGAGCACGTTTGAAACACTCTTTTGGAAGAATCTGGAAGTGGACATTTGGAGCGCTTTGATGCCTTTGGTGAAAAGGAAACGTCTTCCAATAAAAGCCAGACAGAAGCATTCTCAGAAACTTGTTTGTGATGTGTGTACTCAACTAAAAGAGTTGAACCTTTCTATTGATAGAGCAGTTTTGAAACACTCTTTTTGTGGATTCTGCAAGTGGATATTTGGATTGCTTTGAGGATTTCGTTGGAAGCGGGAATTCGTATAAAAACTAGACAGCAGCATTCCCAGAAATTTCTTTCGGATATTTCCATTCAACTCATAGAGATGAACATGGCCTTTCATATTGAAACACGCTTTTTGTAGTTTGTGGAAGTGGACATTTCGATCGCCTTGACGCCTACGGTGAAAAAGGAAATATCTTCCCATAAAAAATAGACAGAAGCATTCTCAGAAACTTGTTGGTGATATGTGTCCTCAACTAACAGAGTTGAACTTTGCCATTGATAGAGAGCAGTTTTGAAACACTCTTTTTGTGGAATCTGCAAGTGGATATCTGGATAGCTTGGAGGATTTCGTTGGAAGCGGGAATTCAAATAAAAGGTAGACAGCAGGATTCTGAGAAACAAGTTTGTGATGTGTGTACTCAGCTAACAGAGTGGAACCTCTCTTTTGATGCAGCAGTTTGGAAACACTCTTTTTGTAGAAACTGTAAGTGGATATTTGGATAGCTCTAATGATTTCGTTGGAAACGGGAATATCATCATCTAAAATCTGGACAGAAGCCCTCTCAGAAACTACTTTGTGATATCTGCTTTCAAGTCACAGAGTTGAACATTCGCTTTCTTAGAGCACGTTGGAAACACTCTTTTTGTAGTGTCTGGAAGTGGACATTTGGAGCGCTTTGATGCCTTTGGTGAAAAAGGGAATGTCTTCCCATAAAAACTAGACAGAAGCATTCTCAGAAACTTGTTTGTGATGTGTGTACCCAGCCAAAGGAGTTGAACATTTCTATTGATAGAGCAGTTTTGAAACGCTCTTTTTGTGGAAAATGCAGGTGGATATTTGGATAGCTTGGAGGATTTCGTTGGAAGCGGGAATTCAAATAAAAGGTAGACAGCAGCATTCTCAGAAATTTCTTTCTGATGTCTGCATTCAACTCATAGAGTTGAAGATTCCCTTTCATAGAGCAGGTTTGAAACACTCGTTCTGGAGTATCCGGATGTGGACATTTGGAGCGCTTTGATGCCTACGGTGGAAAAGTAAATATCTTCCCATAAAAACGAGACAGAAGGATTCTGAGAAACAAGTTTGTGATGTGTGTACTCAGCTAACAGAGTGGAACCTTTCTTTTTACAGAGCAGCTTTGAAACTCTATTTTTGTGGATTCTGCAAATGGATATTTAGATTGCTTTAACGATATCGTTGGAAAAGGGAATATCGTCATACAAAATCTAGACAGAAGCATTCTCACAAACTTCTTTGTGATGTGTGTCCTCAACTAACAGAGTTGAACCTTTCTTTTGATGCAACAATTTGGAAACACCCTTTTGGTAGAAACTGTAACTGGATATTTGGATAGCTCAAACGATTTCGTTGGAAACGGGAATATCATCATCTAAAACCTAGACAGAAGCACTATTAGAAACTACTTGGTGATATCTGCATTCAAGTCACAGAGTTGAACATTCCCTTACTTTGAGCACGTTTGAAACACTCTTTTGGAAGAATCTGGAAGTGGACATTTGGAGCGCTTTGATGCCTTTGGTGAAAAGGAAACGTCTTCCAATAAAAGCCAGAGAGAAGCATTCTCAGAAACTTGTTCGTGATGTGTGTACTCAACTAAAAGAGTTGAACCTTTCTATTGATAGAGCAGTTTTGAAACACTCTTTTTGTGGATTCTGCAAGTGGATATTTGGATTGCTTTGAGGATTTCGTTGGAAGCGGGAATTCGTATAAACACTAGACAGCAGCATTCCCAGAAATTTCTTTCGGATATTTCCATTCAACTCATAGAGATGAACATGGCCTTTCATATTGAAACACTCTTTTTGTAGTTTGTGGAAGTGGACATTTCGATCGCCTTGACGCCTGCGGTGAAAAAGGAAATATCTTCCCATAAAAAATAGACAGAAGCATTCTCAGAAACTTGTTGGTGATATGTGCCCTCAACTAACAGAGTTGAACTTTGCCATTGATAGAGAGCAGTTTTGAAACACTCTTTTTGTGGAATCTGCAAGTGGATATTTTGATAGCTTGGAGGATTTCGTTGGAAGCGGGAATTCAAATAAAAGGTAGACAGCAGCATTCTCAGAAATTTCTTTCTGATGTCTGCATTCAACTCATAGAGTTGAACATTCCCTTTCATAGAGCAGGTTTGAAACACTCTTTCTGGAGTATCTGGATGTGGACATTTGGAGCGCTTTGATGCCTACGGTGAAAAAGTAAATATCTTCCCATAAAAACGAGACAGAAGGATTCTGAGAAACAAGTTTGTGATGTGTGTACTCAGCTAACAGAGTGGAACCTCTCTTTTGATGCAGCAGTTTGGAAACACTCTTTTTGTAGAAACTGTAAGTGGATATTTGGATAGCTCTAATGATTTCGTTGGAAACGGGAATATCATCATCTAAAATGCTAGACAGAAGCCCTCTCAGAAACTACTTTGTGATATCTGCATTCAAGTCACAGAGTTGAACATTCGCTTTCTTAGAGCACGTTGGAAACACTCTTTTTGTAGTGTCCGGAAGTGGACATTTGGAGCGCTTTGATGCCTTTGGTGAAAAAGGGAATGTCTTCCCATAAAAACTAGACAGAAGCATTCTCAGAAACTTGTTTGTGATGTGTGTACCCAGCTAAAGGAGTTGAACATTTCCATTGATAGAGCAGTTTTGAAACACTCTTTTTGTGGAAAATGCAAGTGGATATTTGGATAGCTTGGAGGATTTCGTTGGAAGCGGGAATTCAAATAAAAGGTAGACAGGAGGATTCTGAGAAACAAGTTTGTGATGTGTGTACTCAGCTAACAGAGTGGAACCTTTCTTTTTACAGAGCAGCTTTGAAACTCTAATTTTGTGGATTCTGCAAATGGATATTTAGATTGCTTTAATGATATCGCTGGAAAAGGGAATATGGTCATACAAAATCTAGACAGAAGCATTCTCACAAACTTCTTTGTGACGTGTGTCCTCAACTAACAGAGTTGAACCTTTCTTTTGATGCAGCAGTTTGGAAACACTGTTTTTGTAGCAACTGTAAGTGGATATTTGGATAGCTCTAACGATTTCGTTGGAAACGGGAATATCATCATGCTAAAATCTAGACAGAAGCATTCTCAGAAATTTCTTTCTGATGTCTGCATTCAACTCATAGAGTTGAACATTCCCTTACTTTGAGCACGTTTGAAACACTCTTTTGGAAGAATCTGGAAGTGGACATTTGGAGCGCTTTGATGCCTTTGGTGAAAAGGAAACGTCTTCCAATAAAAGCCAGACAGAAGCATTCTCAGAAACTTGTTCGTGATGTGTGTACTCAACTAAAAGAGTTGAACCTTTCTATTGATAGAGCAGTTTTGAAACACTCTTTTTGTGGATTCTGCAAGTGGATATTTGGATTGTTTTGAGGATTTCGTTGGAAGCGGGAATTCGTATAAACACTAGACAGCAGCATTCCCAGAAATTTCTTTCGGATATTTCCATTCAACTCATAGAGATGAACATGGCCTTTCATAGAGCAGGTTTGAAACACTCTTTTTGTAGTTTGTGGAAGTGGACATTTCGATCGCCTTGACGCCTACGGTGAAAAAGGAAATATCTTCCCATAAAAAATAGACAGAAGCATTCTCAGAAACTTGTTGGTGATATGTGTCCTGAACTAACAGAGTTGAACTTTGCCATTGATAGAGAGCAGTTTTGAAACACTCTTTGTGTGGAATCTGCAAGTGGATATTTGGATAGTTTGGAGGATTTCGTTGGAAGCGGGAATTCAAATAAAAGGTAGACAGCAGCATTCTCAGTAAATTTCTTTCTGATGTCTGCATTCAACTCATAGAGTTGAAGATTCCCTTTCATAGAGCAGGTTTGAAACACTCTTTCTGGAGTATCTGGATGTGGACATTTGGAGCGCTTTGATGCCTACGGTGAAAAAGTAAATATCTTGCCATAAAAACGACACAGAAGGATTCTGAGAAACAAGTTTGTGATGTGTGAACTCAGCTAACAGAGTGGAACCTCTCTTTTGATGCAGCAGTTTGGAAACACTCTTTTTGTAGAAACTGTAAGTGGATATTTGGATAGCTCTAATGATTTCGTTGGAAACGGGAATATCATCATCTAAAATCTAGACAGAAGCCCTCTCAGAAACTACTTTGTGATATCTGCATTCAAGTCAGAGAGTTGAACATTGGGTTTCTTAGAGCACGTTTGAAACACTCTTTTTGTAGTGTCTGGAAGTGGACATTTGGAGCGCTTTGATGCCTTTGGTGAAAAAGGGAATGTCTTCCCATAAAAACTAGACAGAAGCATTCTCAGAAACTTGTTTGTGATGTGTGTACCCAGCCAAAGGAGTTGAACATTTCTATTGATAGAGCAGTTTTGAAACACTCTTGTTGTGGAAAATGCAGGTGGATATTTGGATAGCTTGGAGGATTTCGTTGGAAGCGGGAATTCAAATAAAAGGTAGACAGCAGCATTCTCAGAAATTTCTTTCTGATGTCTGCATTCAACTCATAGAGTTGAAGATTCCCTTTCATAGAGCAGGTTTGAAACACTCGTTCTGGAGTATCTGGATGTGGACATTTGGAGCGCTTTGATGCCTACGGTGGAAAAGTAAATATCTTCCCATAAAAACGAGACAGAGGATTCTCAGAAACAAGTTTGTGATGTGTGTACTCAGCTAACAGAGTGGAACCTTTCTTTTTACAGAGCAGCTTTGAAACTCTATTTTTGTGGATTCTGCAAATGGATATTTAGATTGCTTTAATGATATCGCTGGAAAAGGGAATATGGTCATACAAAATACTAGACAGAAGCATTCTCACAAACTTCTTTGTGACGTGTGACCTCAACTAACAGAGTTGAACCTTTCTTTTGATGCAGCAGTTTGGAAACACTGTTTTTGTAGCAACTGTAAGTGGATATTTGGATAGCTCTAACGATTTCGTTGGAAACGGGAATATCATCATCTAAAATCTAGACAGAAGCACTATTAGAAACTACTTGGTGATATCTGCATTCAAGTCACAGAGTAGAACATTCCCTTACTTCGAGCACGTTTGAAACACTCTTTTGGAAGAATCTGGAAGTGGACATTTGGAGCGCTTTGATGCCTTTGGTGAAAAGGAAACGTCTTCCAATAAAAGCCAGACAGAAGCATTCTCAGAAACTTGTTTGTGATGTGTGTACTCAACTAAAAGAGTTGAACCTTTCTATTGATAGAGCAGTTTTGAAACACTCTTTTTGTGGATTCTGCAAGTGGATATTTGGATTGCTTTGAGGATTTCGTTGGAAGCTGGGAATTCGTATAAAAACTAGACAGCAGCATTCCCAGAAATTTCTTTCGGATATTTCCATTCAACTCATAGAGATGAACATGGCCTTTCATAGAGCAGGTGTGAAACACTCTTTTTGTAGTTTGTGGAAGTGGACATTTCGATCGCCTTGACGCCTACGGTGAAAAAGGAAATATCTTCCCATAAAAAATAGACAGAAGCATTCTCAGAAACTTGTTGGTGATATGTGTCCTCAACTAACAGAGTTGAACTTTGCCATTGATAGAGAGCAGTTTTGAAACACTCTTTTTGTGGAATCTGCAAGTGGATATTTGGATAGCTTGGAGGATTTCGTTGGAAGCGGGAATTCAAATTAAAGGTAGACAGCAGGATTCTCAGAAACAAGTTTGTGATGTGTGTACTCAGCTAACAGAGTGGAACCTCTCTTTTGATGCAGTAGTTTGGAAACACACTTTTTGTAGAAACTGTAAGTGGATATTTGGATAGCTCTAATGATTTCGTTGGAAACGGGAATATCATCATCTAAAATCTAGACAGAAGCCCTCTCAGAAACTACTTTGTGATATCTGCATTCAAGTCACAGAGTTGAACATTCGCTTTCTTAGAGCACGTTTGAAACACTCTTTTTGTAGTGTCTGGAAGTGGACATTTGGAGCGCTTTGATGCCTTTGGTGAAAAAGGGAACGTCTTCCCATAAAAACTAGACAGAAGTATTCTCAGAAACTTGTTTGTGATGTGTGTACCCAGCCAAAGGAGTTGAACATTTCTATTGATAGAGCAGTTTTGAAACACTCTTTTTGTGGAAAATGCAGGTGGATATTTGGATAGCTTGGAGGATTTCGTTGGAAGCGGGAATTCAAATAAAAGGTAGACAGCAGCATTCTCAGAAATTTCTTTCTGATGTCTGCATTCAACTCATAGAGTTGAAGATTCCCTTTCATAGAGCAGGTTTGAAACACTCGTTCTGGAGTATCTGGATGTGGACATTTGGAGCGCTTTGATGCCTACGGTGGAAAAGTAAATATCTTCCCATAAAAACGAGACAGAAGGATTCTGAGAAACAAGTTTGTGATGTGTGTACTCAGCTAACAGAGTGGAACCTTTCTTTTTACAGAGCAGCTTTGAAACTCTATTTTTGTGGATTCTGCAAATGGATATTTAGATTGCTTTAATGATATCGCTGGAAAAGGGAATATGGTCATACAAAATTCTAGACAGATAAGCATTCTCACAAACTTCTTTGTGATGTGTGTCCTCAACTAACAGAGTTGAACCTTTCTTTTGATGCAGCAGTTTGGAAACACTGTTTTTGTAGCAACTGTAAGTGGATATTTGGATAGCTCTAACGATTTCGTTGGAAACGGGAATATCATCATCTAAAATCTAGACAGAAGCACTATTAGAAACTACTTGGTGATATCTGCATTCAAGTCACAGAGTTGAACATTCCCTTACTTTGAGCACGTTTCAAACACTCTTTTGGAAGAATCTGGAAGTGGACATTTGGAGCGCTTTGATGCCTTTGGTGAAAAGGAAACGTCTTCCAATAAAAGCCAGACAGAAGCATTCTGAGAAACTTGTTCGTGATGTGTGTACTCAACTAAAAGAGTTGAACCTTTCTATTGATAGAGCAGTTTTGAAACACTCTTTTTGTGGATTCTGCAAGTGGATATTTGGATTGCTTTGAGGATTTCGTTGGAAGCGGGAATTCGTATAAACACTAGACAGCAGCATTCGCAGAAATTTCTTTCGGATATTTCCATTCAACTCATAGAGATGAACATGGCCTTTCATAGAGCAGGTTTGAAACACTCTTTTTGTAGTTTGTGGAAGTGGACATTTCGATCGCCTTGACGCCTACGGTGAAAAAGGAAATATCTTCCCATAAAAAATAGACAGAAGCATTCTCAGAAACTTGTTGGTGATATGTGTCCTCAACTAACAGAGTTGAACTTTGCCATTGATAGAGAGCAGTTTTGAAACACTCTTTTTGTGGAATCTGCAAGTGGATATTTGGATAGCTTGGAGGATTTCGTTGGAAGCGGGAATTCAAATAAAAGGTAGACAGCAGCATTCTCAGAAATTTCTTTCTGATGTCTGCATTCAACTCATAGAGTTGAAGATTCCCTTTCATAGTGGAGGTTTGAAACACGCTTTCTGGAGTATCTGGACGTGGACATTTGGAGCGCTTTGATACCTACGGTGAAAAAGTAAATATCTTCCCATAAAAACGAGACAGAAGGATTCTCAGAAACAAGTTTGTGATGTGTGTACTCAGATAACAGAGTGGAACCTCTCTTCTCATGCAGCAGTTTGGAAACACACTTTTTGTAGAAACTGTAAGTGGATATTTGGATAGCTCTAATGATTTCGTTGGAAATGGGAATACCATCATCTAAAATCTAGACAGAAGCACTCTCAGAAACTACTTTGTGATATCTGCATTCAAGTCACAGAGTTGAACATTCGCTTTCTTAGAGCACTTTTGAAACACTCTTTTTGTATATCTGGAAGTGGACATTTGGAGCTCTTTGATGCCTTTGGTGAAAAAGGAAATGTCTTCCCATAAAAACTAGACAGAAGCATTCTCAGAAACTTGTTTGTGATCTGTGTACCCAGCGAAAGGAGTTGAACATTTCTATTGATAGAGCAGTTTTGAAACACTCTTTTTGTGGAATCTGCAAGTGGATATTTGGATAGCTTGGAGTTTTTCGTTGGAAGCGGGAATTCACATAAAAGCTAGACAGCAGCATTCTCAGAAATTTCTTTCTGATGTCTGCATTCAACTCATAGAGTTGAAGATTCCCTTTCATAGAGCAGGTTTGAAACACTCGTTCTGGAGTATCTGGATGTGGACATTTTGGAGCGCTTTGATGCCTACGGTGGAAAAGTAAATATCTTCCCATAAAAACGAGACAGAAGGATTCTCAGAAACAAGTTTGTGATGTGTGTACTCAGCTAACAGAGTGGAACCTCTCTTTTGATGCAGCAGTTTGGAAACACTCTTTTTGTAGAAACTGTAAGTGGATATTTGGATAGCTCTAATGATTTCGTTGGAAACGGGAATATCATCATCTAAAGTCTAGACAGAAGCATTCTCACAAACTTCTTTGTGATGTGTGTCCTCAACTAACAGAGTTGAACCTTTCTTTTGATGCAGCAATTTGGAAACACCCTTTTGGTAGAAACTGTAACTGGATATTTGGATAGCTCTAACGATTTCATTGGAAACGGGAATATCATCATCTAAAATGTAGACAGAAGCACTATTAGAAACTACTTGGTGATATCTGCATTCAAGTCTCAGAGTTGAACATTCCCTTACTTTGAGCACGTTTGAAACACTCTTTTGGAAGAATCTGGAAGTGGACATTTGGAGCGCTTTGATGCCTTTGGTGAAAAGGAAACGTCTTCCAATAAAAGCCAGACAGAAGCATTCTCAGAAACTTGTTTGTGATGTGTGTACTCAACTAAAAGAGTTGAACCTTTCTATTGATAGAGCAGTTTTGAAACACTCTTTTTGTGGATTCTGCAAGTGGATATTTGGATTGCTTTGAGGATTTCGTTGGAAGCGGGAATTCATATAAAAACTAGACAGCAGCATTCCCAGCAAATTTCTTTCGGATATTTCCATTCAACTCATAGAGATGAACATGGCCTTTCATAGAGCAGGTTTGAAACACTCTTTTTGTAGTTTGTGGAAGTGGACATTTCGATCGCCTTGACGCCTACGCTGAAAAAGGAAATATCTTCCCATAAAAAATAGACAGAAGCATTCTCAGAAACTTGTTGGTGATATGTGTCCTCAACTAACAGAGTTGAACTTTGCCATTGATAGAGAGCAGTTTTGAAACACTCTTTTTCTGGAATCTGCAAGTGGATATTTGGATAGCTTGGAGGATTTCGTTGGAAGCGGGAATTCAAATAAAAGGTAGACAGCAGCATTCTCAGAAATTTCTTTCTGATGTCTGCATTCAACTCATAGAGTTGAACATTCCCTTTCATAGAGCAGGTTTGAAACACTCTTTCTGGAGTATCTGGATGTGGACATTTGGAGCGCTTTGATGCCTACGGTGAAAAAGTAAATATCTTCCCATAAAAGCGAGACAGAAGGATTCTGAGAAACAAGTTTGTGATGTGTGTACTCAGCTAACAGAGTGGAACCTCTCTTTTGATGCAGCAGTTTGGAAACACTCTTTTTGTAGAAACTGTAAGTGGATATTTGGATAGCTCTAATGATTTCGTTGGAAACGGGAATATCATCATCTAAAATCTAGACAGAAGCACTCTCAGAAACTACTGTGTGATATCTGCATTCAAGTCACAGAGTTGAACATTCGCTTTCTTAGAGCACGTTTGAAACACTCTTTTTGTAGTGTCTGGAAGTGGACTTTTGGAGCGCTTTGATTCCTTTGGTGAAAAAGGGAAT
Source organism: Homo sapiens (assembly GCF_000001405.40). NCBI lineage: Eukaryota > Metazoa > Chordata > Mammalia > Primates > Hominidae > Homo > Homo sapiens. The sequence goes on from NC_000014.9 coordinate 18,169,761, forward strand.
GTCTACCCATAAAAACTAGACAGAAGCATTCTCAGAAACTTGTTTGTGATGTGTGTACCCAGCCAAAGAGTTGAACATTTCTATTGATAGAGCAGTTTTGAAACACTCTTGTTGTGGAAAATGCAGGTGGATATTTGGTTAGCTTGGAGGATTTCGTTGGAAGCGGGAATTCAAATAAAAGGTAGACAGCAGCATTCTCAGAAATTTCTTTCTGATGTCTGCATTCAACTCATAGAGTTGAAGATTCCCTTTCATAGAGCAGGTTTGAAACACTCGTTCTGGAGTATCTGGATGTGGACATTTGGAGCGCTTTGATGCCTACGGTGGAAAAGTAAATATCTTCCCATAAAAACGAGACAGAAGGATTCTGAGAAACAAGTTTGTGATGTGTGTACTCAGCTAACAGAGTGGAACCTTTCTTTTTACAGAGCAGCTTTGAAACTCTATTTTTGTGGATTCTGCAAATGGATATTTAGATTGCTTTAATGATATCGCTGGAAAAGGGAATATGGTCATACAAAATATAGACAGAAGCATTCTCACAAACTTGTTTGTGATGTGTGTCCTCAACTAACAGAGTTGAACCTTTCTTTTGATGCAGCAATTTGGAAACACCCTTTTGGTAGAAACTGTAACTGGATATTTGGATAGCTCTAACGATTTCGTTGGAAACGGGAATATCATCATCTAAAATCTAGACAGAAGCACTATTAGAAACTACTTGGTGATATCTGCATTCAAGTCACAGAGTTGAACATTCCCTTACTTTGAGCACGTTTGAAACACTCTTTTGGAAGAATCTGGAAGTGGACATTTGGAGCGCTTTGATGCCTTTGGTGAAAAGGAAACGTCTTCCAATAAAAGCCAGACAGAAGCATTCTCAGAAACTTGTTCGTGATGTGTGTACTCAACTAAAAGGGTTGAACCTTTCTATTGATAGAGCAGTTTTGAAACACTCTTTTTGTGGATTCTGCAAGTGGATATTTGGATTGCTTTGAGGATTTCGTAGGAAGCGGGAATTCGTATAAAAACTAGACAGCAGCATTCCCAGAAATTTCTTTCGGATATTTCCATTCAACTCATAGAGATGATCATGGCCTTTCATAGAGCAGGTTTGAAACACTCTTTTTGTAGTTTGTGGAAGTGGACATTTCGATCGCCTTGACGCCTACGGTGAAAAAGGAAATATCTTCCCATAAAAAATAGACAGAAGCATTCTCAGAAACTTGTTGGTGATATGTGTCCTCAACTAATAGAGTTGAACTTTGCCATTGATAGAGAGCAGTTTTGAAACACTCTTTTTGTGGAATCTGCAAGTGGATATTTGGATAGCTTGGAGGATTTCGTTGGAAGCAGGAATTCAAATAAAAGGTAGACAGCAGCATTCTCAGAAATTTCTTTGTGATGTTTGCATTCAACTCATAGAGTTGAACATTCCCTTTCATAGAGCAGGTTTGAAACACTCTTTCTGTACTATCTGGATGTGGACATTTGGAACGCTTTGATGCCTACGGTGAAAAAGTAAATATCTTCCCATAAAAACTAGACAGACGGATTCTGAGAAACAAGTTTGTGATGTGTGTACTCAGCTAACAGAGTGGAACCTCTCTTTTGATGCAGCAGTTTGGAAACACTCTTTTTGTAGAAACTGTAAGTGGATATTTGGATAGCTGTAATGATTTCGTTGGAAACGGGAATATCATCATCTAAAATCTAGACAGAAGCACTCTCAGAAACTACTTTGTGATATCTGCATTCAAGTCACAGAGTTGAACATTCGCTTTCTTAGAGCACGTTTGAAACACTCTTTTTGTAGTGTCTGGAAGTGGACATTTGGAGCGCTTTGATGCCTTTGGTGAAAAAGGGAATGTCTACCCATAAAAACTAGACAGAAGCATTCTCAGAAACTTGTTTGTGATGTGTGTACCCAGCCAAAGGATTTGAACATTTCTATTGATAGAGCAGTTTTGAAACACTCTTGTTGTGGAAAATGCAGGTGGATATTTGGATAGCTTGGAGGATTTCGTTGGAAGCGGGAATTCAAATAAAAGGTAGACAGCAGCATTCTCAGAAATTTCTTTCTGATGTCTGCATTCAACTCATAGAGTTGAAGATTCCCTTTCATAGAGCAGGTTTGAAACACTCGTTCTGGAGTATCTGGATGTGGACATTTGGAGCGCTTTGATGCCTACGGTGGAAAAGTAAATATCTTCCCATAAAAACGAGACAGAAAGGATTCTCAGTAAACAAGTTTGTGATGTGTGTACTCAGCTAACAGAGTGGAACCTTTCTTTTTACAGAGCAGCTTTGAAACTCTATTTTTGTGGATTCTGCAAATTGATATTTAGATTGCTTTAACGATATCGTTGGAAAAGGGAATATGGTCATACAAAATCTAGACAGAAGCATTCTCACAAACTTCTTTGTGATGTGTGTCCTCAACTAACAGAGTTGAACCTTTCTTTTGATGCAGCAATTTGGAAACACCCTTTTGGTAGAAACTGTAACTGGATATTTGGATAGCTCTAACGATTTCGTTGGAAACGGGAATATAATCATCTAAAATCTAGACAGAAGAACTATTAGAAACTACTTGGTGATATCTGCATTCAAGTCACAGAGTAGAAGATTCCCTTACTTCGAGCACGTTTGAAACACTCTTTTGGAAGAATCTGGAAGTGGACATTTGGAGCGCTTTGATGCCTTTGGTGAAAAGGAAACGTCTTCCAATAAAAGCCAGACAGAAGCATTCTCAGAAACTTGTTTGTGATGTGTGTACTCAACTAAAAGAGTTGAACCTTTCTATTGATAGAGCAGTTTTGAAACACTCTTTTTGTGGATTCTGCAAGTGGATATTTGGATTGCTTTGAGGATTTCGTTGGAAGCGGGAATTCGTATAAACACTAGACAGCAGCATTCCCAGAAATTTCTTTCGGATATTTCCATTCAACTCATAGAGATGAACATGGCCTTTCATAGAGCAGGTTTGAAACACTCTTTTTTTAGATTGTAGAAGTGGACATTTCGATCGCCTTGAGGCCTACCGTGAAAAAGGAAATATCTTCCTATAAAAAATAGACAGAAGCATTCTCAGAAACTTGTTTGTGCTGTGTGTACCCAGCCAAAGGAGTTGAACATTTCTATTGATAGAGCAGTTTTGAAACTCTCTTTTTGTGGAAAATGCAGGTGGATATTTGGATAGCTTGGAGGATTTCGTTGGAAGCGGGAATTCAAATAAAAGGTAGACAGCAGCATTCTCAGAAATTTCTTTCTGATGTCTGCATTCAACTCATAGAGTTGAAGATTCCCTTTCATAGAGCAGGTTTGAAACACTCTTTCCGGAGTATCTGGATGTGGACATTTGGAGCGCTTTGATGCCTACGGTGAAAAAGTAAATATCTTCCCATAAAAACGAGACAGAAGGATTCTGAGAAACAAGTTTGAGATGTGTGTACTCAGCTAACAGAGTGGAACCTCTCTTTTGATGCAGCAGTTTGGAAACACTCTTTTTGTAGAAACTGTAAGTGGATATTTGGATAGCTCTAATGATTTCGTTGGAAACGGGAATATCATCATCTAAAATCTAGACAGAAGCCCTCTCAGAAACTACTTTGTGATATCTGCATTCAAGTCACAGAGTTGAACATTCGCTTTCTTAGAGCACGTTGGAAACACTCTTTTTGTAGTGTCTGGAAGTGGACATTTGGAGCGCTTTGATGCCTTTGGTGAAAAAGGGAATGTCTTCCCATAAAAACTAGACAGA